>NC_000007.14:152185652-152337167 GCF_000001405.40 Homo sapiens | reverse complement strand
CTCCTGAATAGCTGGGTCTACTGGTGTGTGCCACCAAGGCCGGCTGAATTTTTTTTGCTTTTGCCATGTTGCCCAGGCTGGTCTTGAACTTCTGGGCTTAAGTGATCCTCCTGCTTCCCAAAGTGCTGGGATTACAGGCTTGAGCCACCACGCCAGGTCAATGATTAGGTTCCTTAGTATAGTTTACCACTGTACATGTGCCACCTAGTGGATGGAGATTATCCGTAGATAGTGGCTACAGATGAAATCGCCTTGCCTGTCCTTATCCCAGGGTTGCAGTTGTCCCCACCTTTCTGACTTTGGTGCATTTTGTGACCAAGTGTCATTGCCTGTATTTTAGGTCAGGTTCAAAGTAAGGGAAAAGATATATTAGGGATTTTATATTCAAGAAAAATACCACACTGAATTTTTAAAAATGCAATGTAATTTTTTAAATGTCTGCTCCAATTTCCACAGTTTGGCTTGCAGGCAGTTTGAGCTAATTGGACCTCATGAAAGGCAAAAACTCTGCAAAGTGGTGGAGTCGCCAAACCTGGACTGTTTTATTGGTTGAATGGCTAGCTTCTTTCTTTAGGCAAAGCATAGGATAGTATTCAAGAGTACATTTTTAATAATAAACTGGAGATAATTAAGTACTGGCATCAGGCATATTTCCTCAGATATCACTGGGTTTGTAGCCATTTCATCCAGAGCATCTCTGGATGACATCTCTGGTTGGATCCCTGGTTGACATCATTTTTATCCAGAGCAGTCTGTTTCACATTCTGCTGCCAAACTCTGACAATTGTTTGAAGACTAGGATTAGGAGAAGAGAGAGAGACATAAACACTCAGTTGTCCTGCCTTGACTTTGACAGATACTAAGATCTAACATAGTCTACCAAATGAAGAGTGACAGTTAAAGACAGCTTCTGTTATTACCTGAAGTATCAAATATTTAGTGATACCTTTTTTGTTGTTTGTTCCTATTTTGTGGCAGGAATTACTGCTATCTAGGAAGCAGTCATAGAGTCCTCTTTATTTGTTAAAGAACACAAGACTGAAACAACAAAATCTAAACCAAAAGTAAAACCAAAACTATCGCTCCCTACTGTTTCTTTAGCAGATCCAAGTTAGAATCATGGGCAGAGCCAGTAATAATAATAGCTAGAGGAGAAAAGAGAACAGGATGAACTCTGAAAGCCTGTCTTCTTACCTGCTTTATGGGATCAGATCTGGTGCCGATCCTATTTCTTAAAAAACAAAAAAAAAACAAAAAAACCCTATAGTCTGAATCTGTTTTTTTCTCTTTGAAATGCAGGAAACATAATTTCAAAAGGTTGTATACCTGCAAACCTACTGGCCAACCAGTAACATTAACGTTTAACTTTTCTATTTCCTTCTGGCTCTTATTTGAGGGAGAGATAGACATTGTCCTGCTTCTTTTCCCTTAGCTGTAAGCAATAAAACTCCCCTAAAAATAATAAAAGTGCTATGTATTTTCTTTTTTGGGGATAAAAATAAGGAAAAAGCTGAAACTGTTATATACTTCGCTAGGAGAAGGAAATTTTTGACTGGAGGTCATATATGGTAGATAGCAGCATAGTAAAAGGAAGCAGACAAGTCATACTGGATTGGAGAGAGCACAGCTTGGGAGTGGAGACAAATGGATCTGGCTCCAGGAAAAAATGTGTTTTCAGGGTAATGTAATGATTTGCGACCCTGGGCCATTTGGCTCATTGTTGGTAAGTTTCTGAAGGCACTATTCTTATTCCTCCTTAAGTTTGTCACTTATTTTTCTCTTCCCCTTTCTTGTTACCCAGTAGTAAGAATGGTATAAAATGGGTATATCCCAAAATGTATTCTGGGACTCTCTGAGTAGAAATGAAATGCTTTCATACAGGTATTTATATATGTGATAATTTTATAGTACTTTGAATATAATAGGCAGGCAGAGAGAGTCTCTCTAGCAGAACTGTATTCTTTTCTATCTTTGGCTGTAAAAATACTAGAGAGAGGCAACACAGAATACCCTTTGGGTCATTCCAGATGCTTTGCCTAGAGCTACAGGCTCTGTAGGTACAGTCTACATTCCAAATTGTTGTAGGTCATAGCTATATTAAATATTTTAATATAGCCTAAAAAGGGTCAGTTGATTTTCAGACTCCATTATCAGTGTTTCACGGCCTGATCAAGCCACTTGAAGATTTTGTTACGGCAATTCTTCACTCTTTAATACCAGTTTTCTGTGTTAATTAGGGCATGGGTTAAACTGCTGTAACAGAGACCCCAAAATATAGCAGTGGCTTAAATAAAACAAATTGATCTTCTCTCATGTAATATTTCTGAGGATGGAGAGGTATAGGCTGATGAGTTGTCTTTTGCTCCATATTATTGTTTGTTGACCCAGGTTTCTTCTGTCTTGTCTCTCTGCCATCACCTGGAGCATTGCGCCTCATTGGCAGCATTGCGACTGGGTTGCTGTCATGTCCATTCCAGTCTGTAGGAAAGGGGACTATAATTTAGTGAAGAGCAGCTCACTTCCTTTTAGATGATGAGGTTGCGCAGTTGCTTCTGGTCATATTCTCTCGGTGAGAACTTGCCATGGTTTGCTGCAAAGAGGGTTGGGGAATAAAGTCTCTAGCTGAGCAGTTATGTGTCCTACTAAAACTTGGAAAGCATAGAAGATGAAGAGTATGGATTTTGTCCTTTGTCTACTTTCTTTCTTTCTTTTTTTGAGACGGAGTTTTGCTCTTGTTGCCCAGGCTTGAGTGCAATGGCATGATCTCGGCTCACCGCAACCTCCGCCTCCCAAGTTCAAGCAATTCTCCTGCCTCAGCCTTCTGAATAGCTGGGATTACAGGCACGCACCACCTCGCCCGGCTAATTCTGTATTTTTAGTAGAGATGGGGTTTCTCCATGTTGAGGCTGGTCTCGAACTCCTGACCTCAGGTGATCTGCCTGCCTTGGCCTCCCAAAGTGCTGGGATTACAGGCGTGAGCCACCGCACCCGGCCCCTTTGTCTACGTTCTACAGGTTTATGTGCCTTGTTCATCTTTGGAGTTATTTAGCTATTCTTGATCTGAATACCTTTTTTTTTGGGGGGGGATTCAAATTGTATTTATTTTCTCTCATCTGTGACACATTCATTTTGTTCATGAGGTCATTTGTCACATAGAAATGTAAATTTTCATTTTATTATTCCTTTTGAATACAAGCTTACGTATTTGTAGATTTGATTCTAGATACTTTATCAATTTTGTCTCGGGATAGACAGGACACCTTGATTGATAGACTGTATAAACACTTAATTTAAGGTCAGCTTTTCTATTTCAATTTTTTAAAAAAGAAAAGAAACATGTTATTTTAAGTATGAAAACCAAAACCATCTGTTTGATGCTTCATGTTATCATTAGTTTTATGATTTGATAGGATTTACAATTATTTGTAGTTTTTTCTAACTACCCAAGAATAGTTATACAAATTGTTTTTCAAAATACTTTTCTAAAATTCATTTTGAATGTAGAAGATAGTTTTCTTTTTTTAAAGAGGGAAGTCAGATTGAAGTGCTAATCTGAGCGATAAGAGATAAAGTTTTGTGTGAAATTTAGTGTTCAAGCTGCTAAGTATGTCTAGTGTATAGTTAAAATATGGTGTGGAACTCAGGAGAGGAGTTAGTGCTAGAGATGTTGACTTACAAATCATAAAGTCCAGAGGAAATTGTTGAAATGTGGATAATAAGTTCTTCAAAGAGGAGCTTATAGGCTGGGAGTAGTGACTCATGCCTGTATTCTTGGCACTTTGGGAGGCCAAGGCAGGAGGATGATTTGAGGCCAGGAGTTTGAGACTAGCCTGGGCAACATAGTGAGACCCCCATCTCTACAAAAAAATGAAAAAGAATGTGGTGACATGTGCCTGTGGTCCCAGCTGCTTGGGAGGCTGAGGTGGGAGGATTCTTGAGCCCAAGAATGCGAATGATCATACTACTGCACTCCAGCATGGGCGACAGAGTGAGTCCTTTTCTCAAAAACAAAAACAACCACCCAACCCCAGGAGTATATAAAGGATGTATAGAGGGCTGTACCTATATTTAGAGGTCTAAAGGAAATCAGCTGAAGAGATAGATATTAGACTATTATATCTCTGTGCTTATAAAAGATAGAAGATCATTTCACTAAGGAGGAAGTGATCCTGGTGTGAAGTGAACTTTTAGGATGTTTGAAGAAAGCTTGTGGGTGCTAACTGGATTGTTAATTCTTTTGCCGTTGGTCTATTGGTGGTGTTGACGAGAATAATTTGTGTGTGTGTGTGTGTGTGTGTGTGTGTGTGTGTGTGTGTTTTGAGACGCAGTTTCATTCCTGTTGCCCAGGCTGGAGTGCAATGGCATGATCTCGGCTCACTGCAACTTCCATCTCCCAGGTTTAAGCAATTCTCCTGCCTCAGCCTCCCGAGTAGCTGGGATTACAGGCATGTGCCACCAAGCCCGGCTAATTTTATATTTTTAGTAGAGACAGGGTTTCACCATGTTGTTGGTCAGGCTGGTCTCGAACTCTGGACCTCAGGTTATCCGCCCACCTTGGCCTCCCAAAGTGCTGGGATTACAGGTGTGCATCACCATACCCAGCTGAGAATAATTGTTATAATAGGAGGCTGGATACAATTAGAAAGGTATAGTTGAAGGGGAAGGTAGTAGAGTTCAGTCATGCCATCTCATGAATTTGGTGGTAAAAGGAAAGACAGAGAAGAGGCGCTTGAAAGGACTTTAAGATGTTTTTGTTTGTTTGGGGTTAGTGATGCAGAAAGGTCTAAATAAATTTCAAATTAGAAAAGAAGGAGCCAGCCAAGAGCATGGAACTGCATCATGAGCACTGGTGGGGAGGTGTAATGTCCCTTCATTGTAGTAATAGAGCATGACAGACAGAGTGGACATATAATTTTTATTAAACAAGAAGAATGATGTTAGGGGTAGTGGTGTGTGGAAATCCTCTCAGCTGTTAGGCTGCCTCCTGAGAAAGAACATTTAAGGTGTTTGGGGTTGGATTCAAGGAGAATGGAAAAAGGCAATAAAGTGAAGGTTTGTCCTTTTCAAATATTAAGCTTTTAGAATGGGTAATAATTAAGATACATGATGAGTCTTTTAATGATGATTTTATAAAGTGTGAAGCAATTTTTAATGAGTCACTTTGAAATACATTTGTTCTGTAGACCAATTGCTATAATCCTGAAATAAGATTTTTTTTTGGCCGGGCACAGTGGCTCATGCCTGTAATTCCAGCATTTTGGGAGGCCGAGGCAGGTGGATCACCTGAGGTCAGGAGTTCAAGACCGGCCTGGCCAACGTGGTGAAACCCAGTCTCTACTAAAAATACAAAAATTAGCCAGGCATGGTGGTGGGCGCCTGTCATCCCAGCTATTCAGGAGGCTGAGGCAGGAGAATTGCTTGAACCCGGGAGGCAGAGGTGGCAGTGAGTCGAGATCGCGCCATTGCATTCCAGCCTGGGTGGACAGAGCGAGACTCCATCAAAAAAAAAAAAAAAAAAAAAAAAATCTTTTTGTTGTTGTTGTTGTTGTTGTTGTTGTTGAGGTAGGATCTAGATGTGTTGCTTAGGCTGGAGTCCAGTGGTGCCATCACAGCTCACTGTAGCCTCCGCTGCCGGGGCTTGATTGATTCTCCCACCTCAGCCACCAGAGTCGCTAGGACTACAGGTGTGTGCCACTATGCTTAGCTAATTTTTTGTAGAGATGGGGTGTTACCATGTTTCCCAGGCTGTCTTGAACTACTGGGCTCAAGCAATATGCCTGCCTCAGCCTCCCAAGGTGCTGGGATTACATGTGTGAGCCACTACACCTGGCCAAAAATAAGATTCTTTTTTTTTTTTTGAGACAGGGTCTGGCTTTGTCACCTAGGCCTGAGTACAGTGGCACGATCCCAGCTCACTGCAGCCTCTGGCTCCCAGGTTCAAGGCATATCCTTCCATCTCAGCCTCCTGAGTAGCTGACATTATAAGCACTCACCACCTTGCCTGGCTAATTTTTACATTTTTTGTTGAGATGAGGTTTCACCATCTTGCCCAGGCCAGTCTGAAACTCCTGAGCTCAAGGGATTTGCTTGCCTTGGCCTCTCAAAGTGCAGGGATTACAGGCATGAGCCACCATGCCTGGCCAAGATTCTTAACATTTATTACTAGGATGAAACTTCTCTGAGTCAGCTATAATTTGGGCACAAGGAAAAGTATACCATGCTTCACATTATTTTGATAATCATTTTGCGGTAGAGAATAAAGATGCACAATACCACTAATTACGTGCATGAACTTTTCTTGTGTTAG
The DNA here is from genome assembly GCF_000001405.40 of Homo sapiens. Lineage (NCBI taxonomy): Eukaryota > Metazoa > Chordata > Mammalia > Primates > Hominidae > Homo > Homo sapiens. Next base: position 152,330,860 of record NC_000007.14, on the reverse strand, counting down.
TGAAATATTGTTATTTGTTGTTTCTTTTTACATTATGACCTATGCTTTATAGATACATTCACCAGTGATTAAAATAAACACAAAAATGACTCTTTGTTTTCTCTTGTTTACTGTTAAGCAGAAATCAAAGAACAATCTGCAGAAGAGGATGCTGAAGCAGAAGTGGATAACAGCAAACAGCTAATTCCAACTCTTCAGCGATCTGTGTCTGAGGAATCGGCAAACTCCCTGGTCTCTGTTGGTGTAGAAGCCAAAATCAGGTTAGAGAATGAATGCAGCTGGATTGGATATTAGTGACAGGAATAAAGCAGTGAAATGACTATAGAGAAAATTCAAGGAGTATGAGTTTAGGATGAAAATCTGGGTGGGATTTTATGATTTAGTAGCTAAATTTGAAGCTGATACCTCTGTGTTTAGTTGGGATGAGTTACATCTGTGGGCTTAGGCAATTGTAGAGCAGGGCAGCACACTACGGTTTTACTCTAGTCACCTCAGGCCAGTACAGAATATTACCAATGTGCTGTTCCTGGCAGAAGACATAAATGTGAGCATTTAGCATGAGGATTAATTTTTGATACTTACCTGTAAACTTAAGTTGATAGTTTTGTTCCTTACCTTCTCCCCATTCATTAAAAAAGGAAACACAGGACATTATAACCTATTTTTTTTCTTTCTTTTTCTCCCCCCCCCCACCACCCCTCCCCCCCTCCCTTTTTTTGAGATGGCGTCTTGCTCTGTCACCAAGCTGGAGTGCAGTGGTGCCATCTCAGCTCACTGCAACCTCCAATTCCCTGGTTCAAGAGAGTCTTCTGCCTCAGGCTCCTGAGTAGCTAGGATTATAGGCATGCACCACCATGCCCAGCTAATTTTTGTGTTTTTAGTAGAGACAGGGTTTCACCATGTTGGCCAGGATGGTCTCGATCTCCTGATCTCATGATCCACCTGCCTCGGCTTCCCAAAGTGCTGGGATTACAGGCATGAGCCACTACACTGGGCCTGTAATATATCATTGTATAATTCAGCTTTGAAGTTTTAAGAGTTTTTAGACCTTATTTGAAAGACATGAATAAAATAATGAAATTATCCATCAGTTTGGTACTCCCATCTCCTTCCTTCCCTCCCTCCTTACCTGTCTCCCTCCCTTCTTTCCCTCCTTCCTTCCCGCCCTCCTTCCCTCCCTTTCTCCCTCCTTCCCCTCCATCCCTTCTCCCTCCTTCCTCCCTTCGTTTCCCTTCTACTTCCTTTTCCTCTTCCCTTTTCTTCCTTTCCTTTCTTTTTTTTTTTATTTTTTGAGGCAAGGTCTTACTCTGTTGCCCAGGGTAGAGTGCAGTAGTGTGATCACAGCTCACTGCAGGCTCAACCTCCCAGGCTCAGGTGATCCTCCCACCTTAGCCTCCCAGGTGGCTGGGACTACAGGTGTGTGCCACCATACTTGGCTAATTTTTAAGCTTTTTTTTTGGTAGAGACTGGGTCTCTTTATGTTATCCAGGTTGGTCTGGAACTCCTGGGCTAAAGCAATCCTCCTGTCTCAGCCTCCCTAAGTGGTGGAAGTGCAAGCATGAACCACTGCACCTGACCTCTCTCATCTTCTTGAACCATTTTCTTTCTTTTGCTTTTGGGACATCTCACTCCTCATTTTATCTTTTGCTAGTTGCTGTGGAGACTCTACATGTTTATAATTTTGGAGTTCTTAAGGATAAGTCCTCAGATATCTTGTCTACTTTTTGTCTCTGTTCACTCCCTGGGAAAGAAAGCTCATTCATTCTAATGGCTGTAACCTCTGTGTGTGCCCTTAAGAGTCTCACGTGTTCATTTCCGTTACTCTTCTTTACCTGAACTCCAGACTTTTATGTCCAACTGTCTGCTTGACGTCTCTATTTGGAAGTGTATTAGACACCTCACCCTTAACATGTCCAGTACCATGCTTGATTCTGCCTCCACCTCTGCCCCAAATCTGCTTCTCCCTACGATTTCCTCATTTCAATAAATAATGCCAGTATTCACTCAGTTGTTTAGTCCAGAAACTTTGAAAGTTAATCCTTGATTTCTATCTTTTCTCATACCTTGTAGCTCAACTCGATAACCCAAACAACTTGTTAGTGTCTTAACTTGCCTAACATTTTAGTTGAAGTCACTGTTATCCTTTGGAAGTTGTAGTAGCCTTTTAACCAGTCTTTCTGCTTCTCTTTACCTTTCCATAGTCCAATTTGTTTATAGCACAGTTGCAAAAATTATTCTAATAATGATAATCAGGTCCCCACTCTCCACTCTCTTTCATGACTATTATATTTAAATTATATTCATAATTTCAAGTACTTACCATGTCTACAAGGTGTGATCTGTTCCTGACTGCCTCTCTCATGTCATTTGTCACTCACTGTGCTCTCACCACATTGGCCTCACTCTTTTAAATGTGCTGATGGGGTTTCTGTCTGAGAGCTTTGGTGCTTGCTCTGCTTGTCTCCTGGCTTACCTCCCAGAGAGGCTACCTTGCTGATAATACTAGCCTCCTCTGAAGGGCCACATCCAGCTTAGTCTCAGTCAGCTTAGGAAAAAGAACATACAATGTGAATCAACGAAAGAACACACTGGTGTTTGTTATACTGTAGTCCTCTCCTCCTCCTCCAATATTTTTTGGGAGGTTTGAACATTTTCAAAATAAAGGAGTAGGATGGAAAAGAAAACAGCAGCTCCCACCATATTTTACATAGTAACCTGCTTTATTTTTCTTTGTGGCACTTATTATTTTCCAACAGTTCATTTGACTGTCATGTGAACTCTGAAGACACGCACTTTGTTGGTGGGCTTTGTTCACCACACTGTGTCCTGCACTTAATAGTTCCTGACGGAGATTAGGTGCTGTATAAATTTTTTTTTCTTTTTTCTTTTTTTTTTTTTTTTTTGAGGCGGAGTCTCGCTCTGTTGCCCAGGCTGGAATGCAGTGGCGCGATCTTGGCTCACTGCAAGCTCCACCTCCTGGGTTCACGCCATTCTTCTGCCTCAGCCTCCTGAGTAGCTGGGACTACAGGTGCCCGCCACCACGCCCGGCTAATTTTTTGTATTTTTAGTAGAGACGGGGTTTCAATGTGTTAGCCAGGATGGCCTTGATCTCCTGACCTCGTGATCCACCCGCCTTGGCCTCCCAAAGTGTTGGGAGTACAGGCGTGAGTCACCGCGCCCGGCCCAATATATTTTTAATGAATAATGAATTCTAGTTGATTGAAAAGCATTTAAAGTTCTGCTTAAATTTTTGTAGTTTGATACTACCATGAACTTTACTTTTTGCTATGTGTTATATAGAGATTAGAAATGGTGTAATGCATATGTGGTATTGAGAGGTACAGAATGCAGAATATTTGCTAGTTTAGAGCAGGTGCCTGAGAGCCTTCTGAAAGTATTCTGTGCCTCTGTATCCTCTAGGCCTACTTCGGGAACCCATTGTAGTTCTTAACCTTCTTGCTTGGTTCTTCTGCAGATCTTAAGGACACAGTATGCCTGACTGACTTATCTTTTTGTCACCTGTGAGTAGCACACTGTCACTGTTAGTCCTCATCTAATACTTGTACAGAGAATGAAAGTTAAAAGCTACTCATGAATATATGATAATTTCATTTATAATAATCATGGCCTATCAGTGGAAAAGAATAGGTCACTCAATAATTGGCTATCCATGTAAAAAATATAGGTAGATTGATGCTCATGCCACATGGAAAAATAACCTTGAGGTAGATTAATAAGCAATGCCATTGTTATTTATTTATCCTGGGCTATACTACCACTACCACTGTTATTTTCATTAGACAGGACAGAGTGAATGTACACTGAGAAAGCCAGCATACTGTAAATACAGACTTGGTGTTTATTCCAAGCTCCGACTTTTTGACCTTTATTTATTCATTTTTATCTCTCTGTCCCACAGTTTCCTTAAAATAGGATGAACAGATTGAATTTAATGAATTTTATTTTATTTTATTTTTTTTGAGACAGAGTCTTGCTCTGTCGCCCAGGCTGGAGTGCAGTGGCACGATCTCAGCTCACTGCAGGCTCCGCCTCCCGGGTTCGCGCGATTCTCCTGCCTCAGCCTCCCAAGTAGCTGGGACCACAGGCGCCTGCCACCACACCCGGCTAATTTTTTTGTATTTTTAGTAGAGACAGGGTTTCACCATGTTAGCCAGGATGGTCTCGATCTCCTGACCTCGTGATCTGCACATCTCGGCCTCCCAAAGTGCTGGGATTACAGGCGTGAGCCACCGTCCCCGGCCTGAATTTAATGAATTTTAATGGTGCAGTATATAAAATGTTCTAAATGAATATGTATAATTAATAGGATTTTAGCAAGATTACTAGATAACAAAATCAAAATGCAAAAATCACATGTATTTTTATATATTAGGAACAGAGTTAAATGGTATTTTTTAGAATATTTTCCAATAATATAAAATAATATGTGACTAGGATTATGTGCAAAAATGTAAGACTTTTATAGAGAAAATTATAAAACTTTTTGGAAAGATTAAGGATCACAGACATAATAGCAGTATAATACTCACATTTTAGGGGATTCAGTATTTTAAAGATATTCTTTCCCAATTGATGTGTAGGTTCAAGAAAATTCTAATAAAAATTTCTACAGTAAATTTTACAAGCTGATCTTAATTTATATGAATATGCAAAAGACAGGATAAGCCAAAGGACCCATGAAGAAGAGGAAGGATTGCTTTACTTGATACTAAGACTTTTTGTAACACACTAATAAATTAAGTCAGTGCTGTATTACCACAGAAACAGACAAATAGACCAATGGATCAGAATAGGGAACCCAGATACAGATACATGATTAATATGGACAGGTTATTTATAACAAAGGGGCATCACAAATTAGTGAGGAAGGAAGTCTCTTTCAACAATTGTGCTAGAACAATTAGACATACTTTAAAAAAAAAAAAAAAGAAAGACCTAATTTATTCATGTCTACTCCAGTTAATTTATAGACTTAACACGTGAGAAGCAAATTAATAAAAGAAGTTAATGTAGAGGAATTTCTTCATTGCTTTGGGGTAAGGAAAGACTTTTAAAAAACAAATGGAAAGCCCTAATTATAGAAAAGGGTTGATTGGCCAGGCACAGTGGCTCATGCCTATAATCCTAGCACTTTGGGAGGTTGAGGCAGGAGGATTGCTTGAGCCCAGGAGTTCGAGACCAGCCTGACTTGAACATGACAAAGCCCTGTCTCTACAAAAAATACAAAAATTAGTAGGACTTGGTGGTGCTACTCAGGAGGCTGAGGTGGGAGGATCGCTTGAGCCCAGGAGGTCGAGGCTGTAGTGAGCTGTGATCCTGCCACTGCACTCCAGCCTGGGTGACATAGTGAGACCCTGTCTCAAAAAAAAAAAACACACATAAAAAGAAAAGGGGCCGGGTGCGGTGGCTCATGCCTGTAATCCCAGCCCTTTGGGAGGCTAAGGTGGGTGGATCCCTGAGGTCAGGAGTTTGGGACCAGCCTGGCCAACATGGTGAAACCCCATCTCTACTAAAAATACAAAAATTAGCTGGGCGTGGTGGTGGGCACCTGTAGTCCCAGCTACTTGGGAGGCTGAGGCAAAATTGCTTGAACCTGGGAGGTGGACGTTGCAGTGAGCCAAGATCGCACCATTGCACTCCAGCCTGGGCGACAAGAGAGAAACTGCATCTCAAAAAAAGAAAAGAAAAGGATTGATTAATACCACTATACTTAAATTTACAACTTTTCATGAAAAATACCAAGAGTAAAAAGATAAATGACAGAAAAGGGAAAAATATTTCTAAAGCATATAACTAACAAAGAACTTATGTTCATATGTATTTAAAAATGAAGCAAAACAATGCAATAAGAAGAAGCTTCTGTAGAAGGCAGTAAGCATTACTTGATTACTTGCAATAAACATTACTCGATTACTTTCAATAAACATTACTTGATTATGACATTTTTTAAACATGCTGTTGGGTTTTAGTTAGCTAATATTTTGTTTATGTTCATAAGCAATATGAATTTTTGTAATATTGTAATGTCCTAGTTTTGGAGACAAAATTACACTAGCCTCGTGTGTGAGGCATCTTTCAGTTTTCTTATTTTCTGGAACAGCTAGTTTAAGACAGGAATTGACTCCATGTAGGTCTGAAGTAACTGTCATAAAATTACATGGGTCTGTGGGGTTTCTTCTAGAAAATGAAGTCATTACCAGTTCAATTCAAAGATTTTTTTTCTTGGAATATGTATTCCATAAATTTGCTCCCCACTTCCAAATTTTTTTCTATTCAGCTGTCTGTTTCATCTTGTACCAATTTTCTCATGTTATATTTTTCTCAGAACATATACATTTTATCTAAAATGATTCATGATACATTTATTATTTTTGAATGTTATTTTTGATTGGCAAATCCTAATTGTACATTTATGAGTACAGTGTGATGTTTCAATTCATGAATGCAAAGTGGAATGATTGAATCAAGTAAATTAACATCCATTACCTTGATTAACTCTCATTTGTTACTTGAAATTTACTCTTAAGTTGGTGCAAAAGTGATTGCGGTTTTTGCCATTACTTTTAATGGCAGAACCACAATCACTTTTGCACCAAACTAATAGTTATTTTAAAATATAGGTCACCCTGCTATGCACTGTATCTCAAAACCTATTCCTCCTGTCTCAACCTTCGTATCCTTTGCACCAAATTGTTATTTTAAAATATAGGTCACCCTACTATGTAGTATATCTCAAAACCTATTCCTCCTATCTCAATCTTCATATCCTTTGACCAACAACTTACTATTTCCTTCTTCCTGCCTTACCTTCTCCGAGTGTCTGGTTACCATCACTCTACTACTGGTTCTTTTAGTTCAACTTTTTTAGATTCTACATATAAGTGAGATCATGCCGTATTTGTCTTTCTGTGCCTGGATTATTTCACTTAGCATGATATCCTCTAGATTCATCTGAGTTGTTGCAGATGACAGGTCCCTCCCGCTTCTCTCTCTCTCTCTCTCCCCACTCTTCCTTAATCCCCTTCCCCTCCCCTCCCTGCCTCCCTTCCCTTCCCCTCCCCCTCTTTTTCTACCTCCCCTTCCCTCCCTCTTTTTTCCTTCCTTCTCTCCCTTCGTCCCTCCCTCCTTCCCTTCCTTCCTTCCTTCTTTCCTTTTTTTCTTTCCTTCCTTTCTTTCTCTTTCTCTCTCTTTTTTTTTTTCTTTGAAAGGGTGTCACTCTGTTGCCCAGGCTGGAGTACAGTGCCATGCTCACAACTCACTGCAGTCTCAACTTCCTGGGCTCAGGCAATCCTCCCACCACAGCCTCCAAGTGGCTGGGACTACAGTTGTGTGCTCACCACACCAGGCTAATTTTTAAAATTTTATGTAGAGATGGAGTCTTACTGTGTTGCCCAGGCTGGTTTTGAATATCTGGGCTCAAGCAGTCCTCCAGCCTTGGCCTCCCGAAGTGCTGGGATTATAGGCATGAGCCACCACTCCCCATCCTCCCGCTTTTCAAGGCTGAATAGTATTCCATTGTTTATATATACCATGTTTTCTTTATCCATTCATCTATTGATGGATACTTAGGTTGATTCCATATCTGGCTATTGTAAGTAATGCTGTAGTAAGCATGGGCATGCAGATATCCTTTTGACATTGATTTCAGTTCCTTTGGATATATACCCAGAAGTGTGATTACTAGATTATATGGTAATTCTATTTTTAGTTTTTTGAGGAACCTCTTTACCATTTTCCATAATGGCTATACTAATTGACACCCCCACAGCAATGTACAGGACTCCCATTTTTTCTGTATCCTTGGCAATACTTATCTTTCATCTTTTTAATAGTAGCCATTTGTTAGGTGTTAGCCAATAGCCAGGTGTTACGTGATATATACTTGTTTTAATTTTCATTTCCCTAATGAGTAGTGATGCTGAACATTTTCTCATGTACCTGTTGGCCATTTGTATGTGTTCTTTTGAGAAATGTCTGTTCAGGTCCTTTGCCCATTTTTTAATCAGGTTGTTTTCTTGCTGTTTATTTGGGTTCCATATATATTTTGGATATTAAATATTTTCTCCCATTCTGTGGGTTGTCTCTTTACTTTGTTAATATTTTCATTTGCCGTAAGGAGCTTGGTGGTTTAGCCATCCCATTTGTCTATTACTGCTTTTGTTGCCTATGCTTTCAGGGTCATATCCAAAAAGTTATTGCCCACATGGAACTTTCTCCCTATGTTTTATTCTAGTAGTTTTATAGTTTGACATCCGAAACATAAGACTTTCATCTATTTTGAATTGATTTTTTGTGTTATGTGAGACAAGGGTATGATTTTATTCTTGTGCATATGGATATACAGTTTTTTCAGTGCCATTTATTGAGGAGACAGTTCTTTACCCATTGTGTTTTCTTGGCATCTTTGTTATAAATCAACTTAGTGTAAATGCGTGAGTTCATTCCTGTTCCATTGGTCGATGTGTCTTCTTGTTTTTTGAGCCAGGGTGGTATTTGTAGCCCAGGCTGGAGTGCGGTGGTGTGATCTTGGCTTTCTGCAACCTCTGTCTTCTGAGCTGGAGCCGTCCACCCACCTCAGCCTCTTGAGTACCTGGGACTACAGGTGTTCACTACCACCCCTGGCTTATTTTCGTATTTTTAGTAGAGACGGGGTTTCACCATGTTGCCCAGGCTGGTTTCAGACTCTGGGCTCAAGCAGTCTGCCTGCCTCAGCCTACCCAAGTGCTGGCATTACAAGTGTGAACCACCATGCCTGTCCAGATGTATGGTTTTTTTTTTTTTGGTGCCAGTACCATACTATTTTGATTACAATCATTTTGTAATGTTTTGAAATCAGACAGGGTGATGCATCCAGCATTGTTCTTTTTGCTCAAGGTTGTTTCGGCTGTTTGATGTCTTCTGTGCTTCCATATAAATTTAAGGATAATTTATTTCTGTGAAAATTGACATTGGAATTTCGATAGATATTGCATTGAATCTGTAGATCACTTTGGGTAGTATGGACAGTTAGTTTCACAGTATTAATTCTTCCAGTCCATGAACATAGGATATCTTCCCATTTCTTGATGTTTTCTTAAATTTCTTTTGTGAGTTTTATGGTTTTCAGTATACAGGTCTTTTACCTCCCTGGTTGAAATTACACCTAAGTATTTAATTTTTTTGTTGCTATTGTAAATGGGATTATTACATTAATTTTCTTTTAGGATCGTTTGCTGTTAGTATATAGAAATGCTACTGATTTTTGTATATTTACTTTGTATCCTGCTACTTTATCAAATTTGTTTATTAGTTCTAACAGTTTTTTGGTGGAGTCTTTAGGGTTTTCCATATATAAGATCATGCCATCAGCAAATAAAGACAGTTTCACTTCTTCCTTTCCTACTGGGATCCCTTATGTCTTTCTCTTGACCATATTGCTCTGCCTAGGACTTCCAGTAATATATTGAAATTTTTATATTCAGTATTTTATATTTTATATCAATTTTATATTCAGTATTTTCATTATGATTTTATTTCACATATTGGGATTTCCATTTTAAGTGAAAGATTCTTAAACAATATCTTTTCTAGTTTCCAAATTTATTTATTTATTTATTTATTTATTTTCTTGAAAGGGAGTCTTGCTCTGTTGCCCAGGCTATGCAATGGTGCGATCTTGGCTCACTGGAACCACCACCTCCTAGGTTCAAGCGATTCTCCTGCCTCAGCCTCCTGAGTAGCTGGGACTACAGGCGTGTGCCACCATACCCAGCTAACTTTTGTATTTTTAGTAGAGACGGGGTTTCGCCATGTTGGTCAGGCTGGTCTCAAACTGCTGACCTCAGGTGATCCACCTGCCTCAGCCTCCTAAAGTGTTGGAATTATAGGCATGAGCCACTGCACCTGGCCAGAAGATTTTAAGTTATCCATTTATTATACATTTTTAGTTTTACTGCATTATTGTCAGAGAATGTTGCCTGCATGATGTTGGTCACTTGCTATGTATCATGTATTCTTTTATGGCCTACTATGTAATCCACTCTTGAAATATTTTAATATACTTGAAAAGAATGTGAACCGTTAGTTGTAGATAGAGCTGAATATAGTATCTCAAACTAATTTATTATGCTCAGGTAATTAATAAATAATGAACAATAAAGATGTTCAATACTTAATTTTTATTGGTTTGACATAGTATTTTCTGAGAAAAATAATTAAAATCTTCCACTGTTGTTGATTTAATTTTTTTAGTCTTCCAGTTTTGTTCTGAGAAACTCAGGTTGAGTTTCTCCTATCCAAAATGCTTGGGACAGGCCAGGTGTGGTGGTTCATGCCTGTAATTCCATCACTTTAGGTGGCCAAGGCAGGTGGATCACCTGAGGCCAGGAGTTTGAGACCAGCCTGGCCACCATGGCAAAACTCCGTCTCTACTAAAAATACAAAAATTAGCTAGATGTTGTGGCGTGTGCCTGTAGTCCCAGCTACTCGGGAGGCTGAGGCAGGAGAATTGCTTGAACCCAGGAGGTGGAGGTTACAGTGAGCCAAGACCGTACCATTGCACTCCAGCCTGGACAACGGAGTGAGACTCCATCTCAAAAAAAACAAAAACAAAATGTTTGGGACCAGATGTGTTTTGGATTTTGGATTTTTTTTGGATTTTGGAATATTTGCACATACATAATAAGATATTTTGGGGATGGGAGACATGTATAAACATGAAATTTGTAGGGTCCAGCCCCACAGGTTCGGTGGGTTTTCTCCCCGTGTGCGGAGACGAGAGTATAGAAATAAAGACACAAGACAGAGATAAAAGAAAAGACAGCTGGGCCCGGGGGACCACTACCACCAAGACGCGGAGACCGGTAGTGGCCCTGAATGCCAGGCTGCGCAGATATGTATTGGATACAAGACAAAGGGGCAGGGTAAGGAGTGTGAGCCATCTCCAGTGATAGGTAAGGTCACGTGGGTCACATGTCCAGTGGACAGGGAGCCCTTCCCTGCCTGGCAGCTGAGGCAGAGAGAGGGAAAGGGAGAGGGAGAGGGAGAGCTTATGCCATTATTTCTGCTTATCAGAGACTTTTAGTACTTTCACTAATTTTCTACTGCTATCTAAAAGGCAGAGCCAGCTGTACAGGATGAAACATGAAGGCGGACTAGGAGCGTGACCACTGCAGCACGGCATCACAGGCAGACGGTTAGGCCTCTGGATAACTGCGGGCGGGCCTGACTGATGTCAGGCCCTCCACAAGAGGTGGAGGAGTAGAGTCTTCTCTAAACTCTAAAAGAGTTTAGAGACTCCCTTTCCCGGTCTGCTAAGTAGTGGGTGTTTTTCCTTGACACTGACGCTACCGCTAGACCACGGTCCACTTGGCAACAGGTGTCTTCCCAGACGCTGGGACCAAGGACTCCTCTGGTGGCCCTGTCTGGGCATAACAGAAGGCTCGCACTCTTGTCTTCTGGTCACTTCTCACTATGTCCCCTCAGCTCCTATTGCTGTATGGCCTGGTTTTTCCTAGGTTATGATTGTAGAGTGAGGATTATTATAATATTGGAATAAAGAGTAATTGCTACAAACTAATGATTAATGATATTCATGTATAATCATATCTATGATCTATATAACTATTCTTATTTTATATATTTTGTTATACTGGAACAGCTCGTGCCCTTGGTCTCTTGCCTCGGCACCTGGGTGGCTTGCTGCCCACAGAAATTCATTTATGTTTCGTATATACCTTATACACATAGCCTGAAGGTAATTTTATAGAATATTTAAGTAATTTTATGCTTGAAACAAAGTTTATATTAAGTACTTAGGTGTGAAATTTTCTACTTGTGATATCATGTTGGTGCTTAAAAAGTTTTGAATTTCGGAGCATTTCAGATTTTGGATTTTCAGATTGGAGATGCTTAACCATCTCTTTCAGATTCGAGATTCATTTTGAGACCAGATTCATGTTGGTCTGAGTATATGGTTATGATCGATATCTATTATACTATTCATCATTTTGTTAGTGTGTAACATCTTTTTCATCTCTAATGTCATGTTTTCTTTTTGACATAACTTTCATTTTGTCTGATAAAATTATTGCCACTCAAACTTCCTTTTGGTTTATGTTTGCCTGGTATCTTTTTACCTCTTTTCCCATCAACATTTTTGTCCTTGTTTTATATGTCATTTGTGTTTATACTTCCAACATTTTTTGCACCTATTTTTTTTTTTTTTTTTTTTTTGAGATGGAGTCTTGCTCTGTTGCCCAGGTTGGAGGGCAGTGGTGCGATCTCGGCTCACTGCAACCTCTACCTCCCTGGTTCAAACAATTCCCCTGCCTCAGCCTCCCGAGTAGCTGGGATTACAGGCGCACACCATCAATGCCTGGCTAATTTTTTTGTATTTTTAGTAGAGATGGGGAGGGGGTGGGTGGGTGGTGTGTGCTTCACCATGTTGGCCAGAGTGATTTCGAACTGACCTCAGGTGATCTGCCCAACTAGGCCTCCCAAAGTGCTGGGATTACAGGTGTGTGCCACCACACCCAGCTGCACCCAATTGTTAGATCTAATTTTAATCTAATCTCAAAAATGGTCTTTTAATTGGTGATTTTTGCCTTTTAATTGGTGGTTTTGGTTTACATTATTGTAATGGCTAGTAAGATTTCGTATGCTATTTTAGAAAATGTTTTTTAGTCACTGTATATATGTTTTTTCTTTCTTTTATTTGTTTTTGAGGTGGAGTCTTGCTCTGTCGCCTAGGCTGGAGTGCAGTGGCACGATCTCAGTTCATTGCAACCTCCGCCTCCTGGGTTTAAGTGATTCTCCTGCCTCAGCCTCCCGAGTAGCTTGGATTACGGGCGCCTGCCACCATGCCTGGCTAATTTTTGTATTTTTAGTAGAGACGGGGTTTCACCATGTTGGCTGGGCTGGTCTCGAACTCCAGACCTGTGATCTGCCCGTCTCGGCCTCCCAAAGTGCTGGGATTACAGGTGTGAGCCACCATGCCCATCCTCTTTTTCTTTTTAAAATACAGGCAGGGTCTCACTATGTTGCCCAGGCTGGTCTCAAAATCCTGGGGTTAAGCAATCCTCCTGCCTTGACCTCCCAAAGCACTGGGGTTGCAGTGTGAGCCACTGTTCCTGGCTGAGTTGCTGTAGTGCGTGACATCTAATGAGGTACATGAAGAGGAGCCTTTGTGTGGGTTAGAATTCCCCTGTCTTTGGTCACAGGTGTTAACATAGTCTCACTGTGTTTCACACTTGGCTTCTAGCAATTTCTTAAAAATTTTTACTGAGTTCTTATCACCCTGCTGGTATGATATCAGTGGCCTCTTCCTCAGAGGTGCTATTGTCACATTTCTTTATGGAAGTGTCTTTCATTTGGTGGTGAGTTGGTTGCCTTGTGATTTCTGCCCTCTGATGGGTTTCAGAAAAGTGAATTTGCAGATTCTCTGGTTGGGTTATGTTGTGTGGTTGGGCACAATGTTGTTTGCAGCTTTCTACAGCCAGACCAAAAGCTAGAAATTTCCCTTGACCTCGTATTAAAAAAAAGTCAACAATAAATTACTCTGAGGTGTTTGACCTCCCTTACTTCATACAACCTTTTCTAATTCTTTAATAATTTAAGTACTTCTCTAAAAGTATTTTCATTTTTGATCTGTTGTCTGGCAAAATTTCTGAGGTCTTCTAAGCCAGAGAGTAATTTTATTATACCTTCACATTTAAGCGATAGTTTTGAATATAAAATTGAATGCTAAGGTATTTTTCTGCAATAGCTTTAAAATATTGCTCCATTTTCTAATCAGTGCTGTTACAATCAATGTTGATAAGACTAATGTCAATCTGATTGTTGCTTCTCATGGGTAGTGTTTCTAGGGGAAGAAACAAACCAGAAATGGGATATGGTGAAATAAATGTAAGCTTAATAGCTCAGAGAACATTACAAATAAGGGGATAGTAAGATACTGGCAAAGCATAAGGTGGTGGTCTCTTTTTGGAAAGAAGAAATTTTCTTTTTCAACTTGACTTGATTTTTTTTTTTGAAATTACACTACATTTAATTTGTGTATGTCTCGGTACCAGCAGACAACATAGTTTCTCATGAACTTGAAATAGGTAATTTATTACAAAAACAAAGCTAATTTTGATAAAAGTAATTAGTTGAGAGTCCAATATGATTTAAACCTAAGTTTTAAAAAGTCACCTCAAAAGGCTATAGGTTAGTTCTATCACCTGGTAATGCAAGATATGTAAGATCATGGGGTAAATACTGTAGAGGTAACTTTAATGCCCAAGAAGGAGGATTTGGGTATAGCAGCAGTAAATATCTTGTGAAGTGTAAATATAATCAAGAGGAAGCAGTCCTTTTAATTTCATTCTTTCTAAGATCTCTTAGTAAGTGTATATTCTATATATGTATATTGATTGTTGTCTCTTAATTTTTTAATGTTTTCTCCTTTTTTATTAATAGACTTAGAGCATTTTTAGGTTTACACAAAAATTGAGCTCATTCTCCCACCTCTACCCCCAGCAGTTTCCCTCATGATTAGTATTGTGTGCTGTGTTACAGTTGGTAAACCAATATGGATACATTATTTTTAACTACAGTCCATAGTTTACATTAGGGCTCAGTATCTACCATTATAGTATCATATAAAATGGTTTCACTGGCCTAAAAAATCCCCTTTGCTCCTAATCATCCCTTTCCTTCTTCCAGTTCAGCTCTTCTGCTTCCCTAAAAATCTACTACCACTCAACCCAGGAACTATTTAAGTTTATATTTTTATATCTCCCCGTGTGTATGCATGTGTGTGGTATATATATATCATGCATAATGAACGTTCTATCAAGTGGTTAAATAAAACTGTCACCATATGTTTTACAGAACTGTCATACAGTTGGGTGGCTACTAAACTCTACCTTCTTTCCCATTTTTAACTTGCATTTTTTTTGTTTCCTGAGACAGAGTCTTGCTCTGTCACCCAGGCTGGAGTGCAGTGGTTCAATCTCAGCTTACTACAACCTCTACCTCCCGGATACAAGCGAGGTGCCTCAGCCACCCGAGTAGCTGGGATTACAGGGGTGTGCCACCACACCCAGCTAATTTTTGTATTTTTAGTAGAGATGGGGTTTCACCACGTTGGACAGGCTGGTCTCGAACTTCCACCTCCCAGAGTACTGGGATTACAGGCATGAGCCACCGTGCTTGGCCCCCACCTTTAGCTTTCTTACTTGGATTTTTTTCTAGTCAAATATAAAAGAAAATAACTTTTCTAACTGCTAACTAGAATTTTTTGGATTTGATATGTGTACTACTTTTTAAAATGCTATGGAAAAGTAGAATTCCAAATGTATAATTATTAAACTTAATTGTTCTTATGGGTAATCACTGAATAGACTGTAGAAAATAGATTGAAAAGCTTAGCTTGTGCTTTAGACATAATTTAAAAGCACAAGTATCTATAGTTATCGCTTAAAGCAGTTGAATAAAGCTACTTTTCTCCTTCTCTGACTTACATTTCATTTTTACTAGTGAACAGCTCTGCGCTTTTTGTTACTGTGGGGAAAAAAGTTCCTTAGGACAAGGAGACTTAAAACAATTCAGAATAACGCCTGGATTTATCTTGCCATGGAGAAACCAACCTTCTAACAAGAAGGACATTGATGACAACAGCAATGGAACCTATGAGAAAATGCAAAACTCAGCACCACGAAAACAAAGAGGACAGAGAAAGTAAGCAGTTTCGACTTTAAATGTTGGAATAGATTAAGACTGCATATAATTTATTTCCATTATAATGTTTATAAATTTTCAAATGGGATTGTTCTTGTTGAACAGTTTCTCCTGTTCTCCACATTTATGGGATACTCTGACTCACCATTAACCCAATTAATCCAACAAACTATCCTTTTCACAAATTTTTCTTGTTATTTTTTAAAAAGTTTATATTAATTGTATATGAAAGCGGTGTGATCACAAAACTAAACTTTTGGAAGAAAACTTCAAAGAACATAACACAAGCTGAGAGGGAGGGAGTTCATGGAATTTATAAATGGAAATAATGTAATAATAAAACAGATCAATAAAGTCCTTCTTTTGTTTCTCTAAATAAGCTTTTAATTTTAAGAATATAACATAATACAATAGCAAATCCAGAATTGGTTTTCACTACTCATGTCTTTTGTGTCATTCATTCATCAATCCATTCAGTCATTTATTTAATTTATATATAAGTTTGTGTGCTTCAGAAAATGTTGCACTGTCCTATACATTCTTCCCTCCCTCCCTCCCCTGCCTTCCCTCCCAGAAGATGCTTTTTTCTTTTTTAAGGAATTTTTTTTTTGTAATGATGTGTGTATGTCTGTATTCACGGGCACATTGTAATTACCTAAAGGTCTTGTCTGATATAGTTTAAAATATTTTGTACAGTTGTGTTTAAAGACCATATTAATATGGAGACTTGGCTGTGCTGGTTAAGGGAGTAGAAGTTTCTGTAGTTGATGAGAATGTGTAAAAATTAATTTAGCTTGCAAAGCTAACACTGCCTCTTGAGGGTTATGATGTAATCACTCAAGTGCTTATCTGGCTTATATCCAAATTTAAGTACTAAATCATTGTTGTGTTGTACTTATTTGATTGGCTCATTGTTTTGAACTGCTGCCAATGCCTTGAAGACCTGAAGTAGGAAATGAAACAATAAAAAGAGGGAGAATCTTTTAAAAGAATTTAAGGTGGAACAGTTTAAGGAAACTTAGAAGTACTATATTTGGAGAGTTGTGATGTTTTGGAGGCTATAGCTTTTTCTTTAGTTGTCAGTTGAGTACACACATCTTAATAAAATAATCAAAAGGCCAGCAAACTTAAAATGTCTATTAGCAAATTTAATGGAGTGAATCAGGCTGTATCTTATATCCTCATGTTCTGCCTTAAATAATGGCAATTATATAAAATCCTCTCCTGAGAAATGGAATTGGTTTCATTTCCTTGTTTTAAAAGTGAAATTAATTTTTAGTGAAAATTCTTATGAGCTCAGATAATTATATAAAAATAGCCTTTGTTAAACGAAAGTCTTTATATATACTTAGTGCTTACCAACTTAATAAGTAATGATAATATGGCAGTTAATGAAGTACACTTAAAAATTTGGCATCATTGAAGGGTAGGCAATTAATTTAGCTTGGTAATGATTTCAAATATTTACAAAATGTATGTTGCTAATGAAGTTTAAATAGCTAGTTAATTTAAAAAACAATTTTACAAAGGTTTTGAAAATGTCTTTGCTCATTTTCACTAAATAAAAAAATCAAGAATTTTTTTCCTTTTTTTGTTTTATAACTAAGAATTTTGTGGGTATGCATTTCAGCTGATTCCTCTTGATATCTCTTTCTAAGCTGGGCTGCTGTCATCCTTAGTGTTGACATTGATATCTTACTGATATGGTATATACATACAAACCAGTCTCAAAACTTGAAGGTTGAATTTGATTAAGCTGCTGGTTAGGACCTGATTAGTAATAAATTAGTCATTCTCTTGGTTTTTTTACACCCCTTTCCCTCATCAAATACTAGTGCAAAACAGTATGCTAAAACAACATTTAGTAGTTATAGATGAACTGTTGGTCTTTTTTTTTTCTCCCAATAAAATAACAATGATTTGTAATGGAGCATATATTTGTAGGAATAGAGATTATACTTATAGGAAAGAATTTGTTCTCATTTTACTGTGGGCATTTATTAAAATGAGAATTTAAAGTTAGCATAGCATGCTATACCTTTTAAAAAAAGTCTATGCATTTCTAATGCTGAACATAAAAACATTACTGGTTATTTTTATATGGTTTGATATTTAAATGTACTTATTGAAATATGTTAATACTTTTTTTCTTTCAATGATTCCAGGTATAAAAATGTTTAGTACCCTGGTCATTGTGCTGATTTTCTCTTAATAGGAATCATGATAAATATCCAGCATACAGAAGTGCAGTGAGTTATGATCTATATTCAATAGTGATTTAATCCAGAATTATGATCAGGTTAAATACTATGATATTAGGAGAAGATTTAAGTTTTAGTGGTAGTCATCTGATTTCCCATATTTAATAATTAAGTACAATAGCCATTTTTATTTATTTAATGGTCTTAAATAATACCTAAAGTGTTAGACCTTGAAAGCCTGAAATCTCCCATATGTTGTTTACTTTATTCAATGTTCTTTTTTTAGACTATAGTTTTTGCTGTTATACTATCTTCCTTATTCTACATGCCTTTGGTAGCTATTTTGCTTTTGCTTTTTACTTCCAATTTGTGACATACAGTCTTGATTGAGAGTACTTGCAACGTCATGCCACAGACCAGCTGTTGAGATTTGTTGACGGGACCATAAGAAAGCTACAGCTGATACATTCCATTCCTCCTGCCTCTGTTTTCACACTCTGTAGTGGGTTTTCATTTTCCCTGGAAAATATCCTTTCTTTACACAGTTAACTGCCACCTCTGTTGTGGCAGTCCTCAGTCAAGATACAGCAGACTAAACATTTCTGATTTGATCAAGTTTTGTTTTGTAAGCGTTTAAGTAAAGCCAAAGGAAATACTCAGTTTATGTGTTAAATACAATTCCTGACTAGGATATGAGAGTTGGTTTTAAAAACATTATATTATGGAATGGAAAAACAAATTTACAATTTAATACTTCCCTGTGGGTTTGGAGACTCTTTTTCTTACTTGTTACTTATACGATATAATATGGCAACCCAGTTTAATATTATACCATGGATAATACTAACAGATGAATTCTAAAAGTTGTTTTATGACAGTTAATGGCTGATAAATTAAAATTGATTTGGCAGTACATTGCATTTAAACAGTTAAAAATGAAACAATTTTCTGCTTGTTTTCACTTTCACAGTTATTTTATTTTATTTTCAGAGAACGATCTCCTCAGCAGAATATAGTATCTTGTGTAAGTGTAAGCACCCAGACAGCTTCAGATGATCAAGCTGGTAAACTGTGGGATGAACTCAGTCTGGTTGGGCTTCCAGATGCCATTGATATCCAAGCCTTATTTGATTCTACAGGTATGGGCATGTTTTCAATAATGACTGCCTCTTAATTCTGGAAGCATTTTAATTTTAATACATTATTAATGTCCTCAATAATAAATACCTTTCATCTAGAAATAATTATAATCATACTATAAAAAAATCATTATTAAATATGCCTGGTTAGGTAAAAGAAAAGGTTTATCTATTTAAAATCTGTACAGTACCACCACCGGACTGGATGCTTTTTAAAATACTTGTATTTTTTCTTGTGTAGATAGCGGTGCCATGGAGATCTGACAATTGAGAAAAGAGAAAATTTTAAAGGGGAAAATTTTAAAGTGAGAACTTGGGGAATGTGGCATTCTGAGTCTATTTTATTTGGGCATGAATGAAAATAGGTCTTAGCCGGGTAGATTATCTTATTATAACAGTATTGTAACTCAGCACTCATGATATGGTGCTACTGGAATTTAAAGTACATCTCATTCTGTAGTTGAACTGCAGATTGACTGATAGTGGTTCAAGTGTTATGTGATGGATAATTTAAAGGCTGAAGTGTTAATAATCATTGATACGTGCTCTCACTGTGGGATGAGGGAAGTAGAGGTGTATGTGTAGTTTATTTTCTATACATTTCCTTTGTATATCACCTCAACAAAGTACTAAGTAATACTTTGTTTGCTTTATATAAAGATACCAGAAACATATCAAATACATATATAATATTTAAATAAAATGACTAAAAACTAATTTTGTTTGTTGAAGAAATAATCACTAATTCAGTTATTCTTAAACTTGTGTGTGCATCATAATAACCAGACGGCTTGTTAAATCACAGATTGCTGGCAGGGCACGGTGGCTCACAGCCCGTAATCCCAGCACTTTGGCAGGCTGAGGTAGGTGGATCGCTTGAACTCAGGAGTTCAAGACCAGACTGGGCAACATGGTGAAACCCTGTCTCTACAAAAAATGAAAAAAATTCCCGGAGTGTGGTGGCATGTGCCTGTAGTCCCAGCTATTTGGCAAGGCTGAGACAGGAGGATTGCTTGAACCCTGGAGGTTGAGGCTGCAGTGAGCTGTGTTCATGCCACTGAACTTCAGCCTGGGCAACAAAAAAAGTGAGACCCTGTCTCAAAACCAAAACAAAACAACAACAACAAAAAAAAACAGAACCAAACACAGATTGCTGGGCCCCACTGCACGAGTTTTTGATTCAGTAGATCTCACTTGTGATCTGCGCTTCTGCATTTTTTTGGTTTTTATTTTGAGACGGAGTCTTGCTCTGTTGCATAGGCTGGAGTGCAGTGGTGCGATCTCAGCTCACTGCAACCTCTGTCCCCTGGGTTCAAGCGATTCTCATGCCTCAGCCTCCTGAGTAGCTGGAATTACAGGCGTGCACCACCACGCCCAGCTAATTTGTAGAGACAGGGTTTTGCCATGTTAGCCAGGCTGGTCTCAAGTTCCCAGCCTCAAAAGATCCACCAGCGTTGGCCTCCCAAAGTGCTGAGATTACAGGAGTGAGCCACTGCACCCAGACAGATTCTGTATTTCTAAGAATTTCTCAGTTTGATATTGATACTGGCACTCAGTGGTTGGTCCACATTTTTAGAAGGGCCACTTTACTGCTATCACAAATACAGGATGCCATTGTATATTTACATATTAGAGTTGATTTTGAAGTTTTATGTCTTTATTTATTAGCTTTAATTTTTTTAATGTTTGCTCATTTGCTCCTTTTCATTTTTCCCATTTTAGGCACTTGTTGGGCTCATCACCGTTGTGTGGAGTGGTCACTAGGAGTATGCCAGATGGAAGAACCATTGTTAGTGAACGTGGACAAAGCTGTTGTCTCAGGGAGCACAGAAGTAAGTAGACAAAGCAAATATTTAAATCATAGTTTTATAACATTCACTTTAATCAGAAGTTCACTTGAAAGGATTATTAAATGATTGCTGTAGTGTAAAAGCTCTCAAAATAGGAAATTATTAATTTTTATTAAGAGAAATTCTAGGCCAGGTATGGTGGCTCACACCTGTAATCCCAGCACTTTGGGAGGCCGAGGTGGGTGGATCACTTGATGTCAGGAGTTTGAGACTAGCCTGGCCAACATGGTAAAACCCCTTCTCTACCAAAAATACAAAAATTAGCTGGGCATGGTGGCAGTCGCCTGTAATCCCAGCTACTTGGGACACTGAGGCAGGAGAATTTGCTTGAATCTGGGAGGTGGAGGTTGCCCGTAGCCAAGATTGCGCCATTGCACTCCAACCTGGGTGACAGAGAGAGACTCCGTTTAATTAAAAAAAAAAAAAAAAAAAAAAAAAAAGTTATTTTATGCAAAAATTAGCCGGGCATGCTGGTGCACATGTGTAGACCCAGCAACTTGGGGTGCTGAGGTGGGAAGATTGCTTGAGTCCAGTAGATTGAGGTTGCAGTGAGCCATGATTGCACCACTGCACTCCATACTCCAGCCTGGGCGTTGGAGTGAGACCCTGCCTCAAAAAAAAAAAAAAAAAAAAATTAATTTGTGTAAGCCATTGGAATGTAGTATGTTACTCAGTGAACTTGAATCTTTTAAAATAAGTAGTTTACATTTAAATTAGAAATTAAAATTTTAGAAATGAAAATTTTGCACTATGCTTATACATTCATGTGGTAACTTTTTAAGACAAAACTATTTGATAATGATTTAAAATGAAAGAAAATATTTGAAAAGATTTGAAGGTCATTAGTCCATAATGTGGACTACCTCTGTTTGATATTTTAAAAAGTGATTAAAAAAATTTTTTTAGTTCGGTCAGCAGTTCAGTTCATCTTTATTGCATTGTATCAAAGTAATATGTGCATAGTCTGCCATTTTTCAGAGCTTTTCCTGTGATTTTCATGTAATTTTGAAACAAATGCAAATGAAACGGCTTCCTCCCATCTATAAAGACAGCAAACTCTGTGAAGTGATACTGCTTTGCTGTCTACAAATTGCTTTTCTTTTTCTTTTTTCTTAAAATGTAGAGATGGGGTCTCACCATGTTGCCCAGGCTGGTCTCAAACTCCTGGACCCAAGGGATCCTCTCTTCTCTTCTTGGCCTCTCAAAGTGCTGGGAGTTTAGTTGTGAGCTACTGTGCCTGGCCTTCCTTTTTTTTTTTTTTTTTTTTTTTTTTTGAGAGGAGTTTTGCTGTGTTGTGCAGGCTGGAGTGTGGTGGCATGATCTCAGCTCACTGCAACCTCTGCTTCCTGGGTTCAAGTGATTCTGCCGCCTCAGCCTCCTGAGTAGATTGGATTATAGGCTCGTGCCACCACACCGGCTAATTTTTGTATATTTAGTAGAGATGTGGTTTCACTACGTTGGCCAGCCTGATCTTGAACTCCTGACCTCAGGTGATCTGCCTGCCTTGGCCTCCTGACGTGCTGGGATTACAGGTGTAAGCCACTGTGCCTGGCCCCTTTGGTTTTTAACAAGTATATTTGGGAGAAGTGAGACAGCCCTTCCAATGGAATATTAAAACTGGAAATTTTGACCTTAGAAACTATATGGGCTTTAATAGATAGAACATAGGCAAAGCTTTCAAAAGTATAGTTGAGACAAGGACTTAGATTCAAGTAAAAATTCAATCATTAGAACATTAGCTTTACTTGGATTATCAAAATGAACTGATTTACATAGATGAGTAAGCATCACCTCAAGAGTAGTGAAGTCAGAGTGCTTGTTTTGGAAATTTTACATTAAAGTGTATATGTCATCAAATTTTGAACAGTTTAATGCATAATAGTATTTTCCCCAGCCTGAACATTCTTAGAGACTGGATTAAGACAATGATATTTCAGTGAAAACCATCTGTTTTATGAATTACTTCATAAAAGTAATTTTTATTTTGGGCTATTTTGTGACAGTGAAAAGTATTACAGGGAAGGTAACAAAGGCTAAATGAGCTTTTTGGTGGTGGATTAGAACCAGAGGAATCAATATAAACTCGTAGTGTTTGATACTTAGTACAGAAATGTAGGTGTATGTATTTGCATGAGTTTGTATGTGTCCATGTATTTCCTACCTCTGTTTGCTAGGAAGGTAGTTAAAAGAAAACTTGCCTCACTCTGTCCCTTTTGGACAGAAGTTACCATTTTTGTTCTTACTGATTAATAATTAAATGGTATTTAGAGATGAAGACTGTGTCCTACCACTGGCAGAGGAATCACAAGCCCTTAGGAGACATTGCATCCCTTCCGACTTTGTTTAGGCATTAGAATTTGGTGGGCCTAAGCAAGTTAAATGCAGATTGAGTACTTGGAGTTGGTAGACCATGTGGGGATTAGAAGGGATCTAGTGGTAACTCTGTCAAATCTTTACCTCTCCACTAGATTGAATCACTCAAAACTCACAGGAGTGTCAGTTTTGTGTCGCCATTTGTACGGTTGTTTGTTTTGTCCTTCTTCCTTCTCCCCTCCCTTCCTCCCTCCTTCCCTCCCTCTCTCCCTCTCTCCTTCCCTCCCTCCCTCCCTCCCTCTTTCCTTCCTCTTCTGTCCTTCGTCTTCCTTCCTTCCTTCCTTCCTTCCTTCCTTTCTTTCTTCCTTCCTTCCTTCCTACCGTCCTTCCTTCCTTCCTTCCTTCCTTCCTTCCTTCCTTCCTTCCTTCCTTCCTTCCTCCCTCTTCTTTCCTTCCTTCCTCTTCTTTCCTCCCTTATTTCCAGGGTCTCACCCTGTTGTCCAGGCTGGAGAGCAGTGGCATGATCACGGCTCATTGGCACCCTTGGCTTCCCAGGCTCAAACAGTTCTCCCCCGAGCCTCCCGAATATCCGGGACCACAGGCATGCGCCACCTCGCCTAACTAGTTTTTAAATTTTTTGTAGAGGCTAGGTTCTGCTGTGTTGTCCAGGCTAGTCTCTATCTCCTGAGCTTAAGCGATACTCCCACCTCATCCTCCCGAAGTACTGGGATTATAGGCATGTGCCACCACGCCTGGCTTTTGTTCATTATTCTTCATTATCAAATAGGCACAAGATGGACCAGTTAGCTAGAACTTTGTCTCAAGAAAGGAAGACTTGTCTCACTGGCAAAAATTCAAACATAAAACAACACATTTGTTGACAGGGCTGTGGGGAAACAGGTACTCTCATTCTTTGCTGCTGCAGATGCAAATTGGTACACATCTTTTGGAGGGAAATTTGGTGATACCTAACAAACTGTATGCATTTACCTCTCAATTATTCTAGGAATCTATGCTGAATATGCCTCTAACAATACAAATTATGTATTACTTAATGTTATTAATTATAGTATTATTTAATTTGCGAAATATTGGAAACAAACTAAATGCCCACACAGAGGAGAAGGTTTGAATAAACTGTGTTACATCCATATAGCCATATAATGGAGTACCATGCAGATAAATCAGAAACTAGAGATTGGTTACCTGTAGGGAGTGGGAGGGAGAAGAAGGGAGTGGAGATCTGTGTAGCATGGATGAAATGTGAGTGGCACTTCTCAGAGTATATTTGTCAGTATAACTCTGATTCTTAGAACCATAGGAATGTTTTAAATGCTTCTATGCAATTGCCACCAACCAGGATGTGGGAGACCAAATAAGCAATTACCACCTACCCAGATGCAGGAGAACCCAAAAAGGAATAGTAAAATTCACATAAAAGAGGATAGGGAGGGAAAGAACTCACCTAAGTAACTGTAGAAAATAGTGTCTTGATTAAATAACATAAAACTAGAGGCAAAAAGAACTGTACAGTCATGCTGTAGTGTTGAGATCAGAAGTATGAAAATAAACTCATGTTTTTTAATATTTACACAGACATACAGAAATATAGATGTGTGCATATGTATGAGTTAATTTGAATATGTGTATTTCCTACCTCTATCCCCTGAGAGGGCATAGAAACAATGACACCCCAGTAGCATTGAGAATACCTAGTGCTTAGATCTTGGTCTCCAACCATTGCTCTTCAATGAAAGGAACCAGGGCTCCTTGAGAAGTAGTTCCTTACGGGACTGGTGCAGAGAAAATACAAGGTAAGCCTAGATCATCTTGTGGTGCCAGAAAGTAATGAAGTGCTTAAAAAGATGAAAACCTGTTCAAAGCACGGGAACCTACCTGAAGGAGCTCCTAAGAACTGGACCAATTTTAGCAACCACAAAAATAATGATAATATTGCATTTTCATCCATAGAATAAGTACACGAGTCCATACTGATGTAAATAGATTGTCCAGTCATGTCACTGCTCTACTTAACACTCTTCAGTGACTTCCCATTTTATTCTGAGAAAAAAAAAAAAAAGATTCCTTGCTAACCTGTAAGGCTCTACATGATCTTCACCACACCTCACGTATACTTCTCAGACATCTTTCACTATAACCGTTTGTTCATTTACTTCCTTCAGCCATGCTGACCTCATTGGTCTTACTCAAGTACGCAGACGCAGATCCACCTCAGGGCCTTTCATAATGCATGTGTTGCCCCCTCATATCCTTTATGTATTTATTCAAGCGTGACTTTACAGTGAGGCCTTTGCTAGGCTTGCTGTCAAAGATTTCAAATGCCTTCCCATAATATCTGCTTTTTTGTTTTCTTTTTCGTACTTATCACCTCTGACAGAGTGTATATTCACGTAATAATCTTACTTATTGTTCATCTCCCTCTCACTAGTATACTAGTGCCATTCGGATGGGGTTTTTTTCTGTTTTGGTTATTCCTCAGTGAATATTTGTAGACTAATTAATAGCACTGAAGATCATTCATGGAATCATTCATAGGCAGCAAATAAGTTCTAAGTACCCAAAAGTGTTACTGGAGGTTATCAATATGGCTAATTACATGAAAGTTTATATACTTAATCTCTAAATAGAGCAAATCTTTACAGTTCTACAGAAATGATTGGGAAGGAGGAGCCAAGGAAAATTTCTGCTATCACAAAAGTTTCCCTAGGGGCGATATAGCTATTGAACTTAGAAGACGTTTTTATTTTGCCAAAAGGTCGATTTTGCTGACCTTGGCTAGGTGCAGTGCCTCCCACCTGTAATTCTAGCATGTTGGGAGGCCAAGATGGGAGGATTTCTTGAGCCCAGGAGTTTGAGACCAGCCTGAGCAACATAGTGAGATCTCGTCTCTATTAAAATAAAAAATGAAAAATGAAATTTGCTGACCTTTATTATGTAGCTGAGTATATTCTGATACCTAGCTCTATTTTCAAAGAAAACAAACACTTAACCTGCCCCTTCAAGATAAAGATGACATTTCAACATTGAGAATGCAGTGACTTTTCAAAGAAACATGTCCTGGGGCGTTGAACATTTTGAAAACAGATGTTTTGAACTATTTATATTGATATTTTATTGTCAGAAATAATGAAGGTTGTAAAAACAAAACAAAAAACTCTCATGTTTGTCACCTTAAAAGAAACTTGAACATGGAATTTTCTGATATGTTTAAAATATTCTAAAGAGCTCTGGTTTAAGCCCATTTATTAAACATTCAATATTTTTATTAGAGAGGGTGAAATTTTATTTGCTTAAATTTTGATAATTTCGGTTGAGATTTAAAAATGGTTGCAGAAATCATGTACTACTTCTAATTAGATCATTTTACTTTTGGGGAGAACCTGTTTTTTTAAACCTATGAGAGCCATAGAAACTAGGTATTAAAATAAACCAAAGTTAGAATTAGGCTTTTTAATCTAAGAAAATGGAAGGGAATGAGATACTATAAAGCTCAGGTGAGGGGTTGCAGTATTTTGTAAATTTTTTGATTGTGCACATCTTTTAATAAGAAATGTTTGAGTATGCAGCTTTATTATACATTCTCAGTGGAATATGTATGTCTTCTCTCTCTTTTTTTTTGTTTTTGGAGACATAGTCTCTCTCTGTCTCCTAGGCTGAGATTGCAGTGGCGCAATCTCAGTTTACTGCACCTTCTGCTTCCTGGGCCCAAGTCATCCTCCCACCTCAGTCTCCCAGGTAGCTGAGATCATAGGCGTGGACCACCACGCCTGGCTAATTTTTGTATTTTTAGTAGAGACAGGGTTTCGCCATGTTGGCCAGGCTGGTCTTGAACTCCTGGCCTCAGGTGATCCGCCTGCCTTGGCCTCCCCAAGTGCTAAGATTACAGGCATGAGCCACCATGCACAGCCATGCATATCTCCTTTATGTAACTTAACATCTGCAGCGTTTGTTTGTGTGAGTTTTTTATTCTGTCTGCATTTGTGTATGTGAGTCTTTTTCTATGGATTTTTCCCACCATGGCTGTAAGCACCATGAGAGTGAGGAAAATAGCTGTTTTGCTTTATCATATTTTCTCTGGTGCCTAACAAAGTATCTGGAACACAAGAGAGTCACTAATGGGATAAATACATGCATTAATGGGATTTGTCAATGAAGGGCAAAATTTAGTGCATTAGCTTGAATGAGGAGGTAGGTCCTACTGGCTGGCCTCTTGGGTAGAGGCCAGGACTGCCGCTAAACATTCTGCAATATGCAGGACAGCCTCCCACACCAAAACTATACAGCTTAAAATGCCGATAGTGCTGAGGTTGAGAAATCCTGGTTTGACATATTATTCCTGTGTTAAAATTAATATATTTAAAGTAATTTCCTCGGTTGTTAACATGGCATTTTTGTCAAGCAATTTTGTTTTCTCTGAAACATACCTCAGATTGTTTTTAGTTTTTCCAGGGGAAACTTTATTCATTTTTTACTAGAGAAAAGAACATGGCAAACAGTGAATCTGTGTTTCAGGAAGGGTAACGTCGTTTTTCTTTTAATTTCCCTTTTGAAGCTCTCAGGGTGCTACCAACATCTTGGAAATCTGGATAATTTGAGTATTACTGAGGGAATATTTTCATTCTACATGCTACAAATGTTTAATCATTTTATTTATCTAAAGTTCCTTTCTTGGCCAGGCGCGGCGTCTCATGCCTGTAATCCCAGCACTTTGGGAGGCTGAGGCGGGTGGATCACCTGAGGTCAGGAGTTCGAGACCAGCCTAACCAACATGGCAAAACCCTGTCTCTACTAAAAAAATATAAAAATTAACCGTGTGTGGTGGTGTGTGCCTGTAATCTCAGCTACTTGGGAGGCTGAGGCAGGAGAATTTCTTGAACCCAGGAGGTGGAGGTTGTAGTGAGCTGAGTTTTCGCCACTGCACTCCATCCTGGGCAACAGAGCAGGACTTCTTCTCAAAATGAATGAATGAATGAAAGAAGGAAAGGGAAAGGAAGCTCCTTTCTCTTCTATTCCCAGTATTGCCCCCCAAAAAGAAGTAATCCATAAACCCCCAATGTATATTTCTGTTTTCTTAACTATTTCTGAATAAAATGTTCAGTGTTGGCTGGGCATGGTGGCTCACGCCTGTAATCCTAGCACTTTGGGAGGCTGAGGCTGAGGTCAGGAGTTTGAAACCAGCCTGGCCAATGTGATGAAACCCCCTCTCTACTAAAAATACAAAAATTAGCTTGGCATGGTGACGTGTGCCTGTAATCCCAGCTACTCGAGAGGCTGAGGCAGGAGAATCACTTGAATCCTGGAGGCAGAGATTGCAGTGAGCCAAGATCGTTCTATTGCACTCCTGCCTAAAACTCCATCTCAAAAAAAACCAGGTGTTTTACTCTTAAAATAAGACATTAAAAAAATACTTCTGTTGTCTCCCCTCATAGAATTGGTAATCTCTTCCTTCTCCACCCTCATCCCCTGCTGTAATTCTATATTGAAATTTCATTGTATTTTGTGCCAGATGTCTTTGTGTAAAACCAACTTAGTTCTGTGAGAAGAGTTGTACGTTTTTAATATTTTTGTTCTTTTTGTAGACTGCAGAAACAAAAATAGCCTTCCTATAGTAAGGTGGCAATTCACATTAAGAATGTAGATAGGCAAATTTAAACTTCTAAATGTAATTTGTCTAAAAAAGTTGAAAAACAGTGTATAGTAAAAGTCTCTCCTCCAACCAATGGAAAGTACTTTTATGTAAGATCCTTTAAGTTACTGACTTGAATCTTTACGTAAGGTAATTTGCTAGTATCTATTTTATAAATAATGTTATTTAATACTGTTTTATTTTCTATAGAATCCTAGTGTTTTTCCATGTAAATTTTTAGAAATTCTTAAAGTATGTATCCCTCATTTTCCCCTATAGTTGTTTGCTTCTACTTCTGTTTTTAAGAGATAGCATCTCAGTTGTTTAAGCTGGAATGCAGTGGCACGATCATGGCTTACTGCAACCTTGACTTCTTAGGCTCAAGCAGTCCTCCCGTCTCAGCCTTTAGAGTAGCTGGGATCACAAATGCATGCCACCACACCTGGCTAACTTTTCTTTTCTTTTCTTTTTTATTTTTTTGAGATGGAGTCTCACACTGTCAGCGGGCTGGAATGCAGTGGCATGATCTCGGCTCACTGCAACCTCTGCCTCCCGGGTTCAAGTGATTCTCCTGCCTCAGCCTTCCAAGTAGCTGGGATTACAGGTGCCCACCACCATGCCCAGCGAATATTTTGTATTTTTTTTTTAGTAGAGATGGAGTTTCACCGTGTGGGCCAGGCTGGTCTCGAACTCCTGACCTTGTGATTTGCCCACTTCGGCCTCCCAAAGTGTTGGGACTACAGGTGTGATCCATCACACCCGGCCAACTTTTCTTTTTTTTTTTTTTTTTAGGAGACAGGGTCTTGCTCTGTTTTCCAGGTTGGTCTCAATTCCTGGGCCCAAGCAGTTCTCCCACCTGGGCCTGCCAAGGTGCTAGTATTATAGGCGTGAGCCACTGCGCCCAGCCCTTTATAGTTTTTTTCTTTTTTTTGAGATGAAGTTTCCCTCTGTCACCAGGCTGGAGTGCAGTGGCGCGATCTCGGCTTACTGCAACCTCTGCCTCCCTGGTTCAAGCGACTCTCCTGCCTCAGCCTCCCGAGTAGCTGGGACTACAGATGTGTGCCAGCATGCCCAGCTACTTTTTGTAGTTTTAGTAGAGACGGGGTTTCGCCATGTTGGCTAGGATGGTCTCAATCTCTTGACCTCGTGATCCACCCGCCTCAGCCTCCCAAAGTGCTGGCATTACAAGCGTGAGCCACTGTGCCCGGCCAGCTCTTTATAGTTTAAGAGGAAGGATAAACCTTAAGAGATCACAACCATATATTTGTGTCAGGGGTCCACAAGACTGCCTCCATGTTTGGAGATTTGCTAGAAGGACTCATGGGATCAGCTTAGGGTTGTAATGGCTAAGATTTATTACTGTAACATAGTATGGATATATAGTAGAAAGACCTCAATGGCAAAAGACACTGACAGAGTCTGGAAAAATCCATGTACCAGCTTCCTTATGTGCTGTGCCTTCCATGAGGATCACACAGACTACCTTCTTTCCCCCTTAACGAAAATACAACAACATATGTGACTGCCCAAGAAACACAGTTTTTATCTAGGCTGGTCATGTAGGTGTACTCTCTGCCTAGCATGTGTGAAATTTCCAGACTCATAAAAAGAATAGCAGGATAAGCCACATTATTTCCATAGTCTAGATATAGTAAACCATGATTACCAGTTAGGGAACCCTCTTGAAATTCAAGTTCTCAGAAGCCAGCCTAGGACCAACTGTGCAAACAGACAGACCCTCCTTCACAGGATAATGTAATAGTCTCAGATCTGCTTTGTTAATTTTTGTTTGCATAGAGTTTTATAATTGGAAGGTGTCTCAAATGCTACATATTTCTGTCTAATGGACTATAGTAAGAGTGTTGTATAGTATATAACATTGAATTATTCTCCATTATAGACAGGCTGTGATAAGTGTTCTAATGTTTATACAAAAGAACTTTGTAACTTTGAGCAGAGTAAAGAGACTGTTAATGATACTTTTGACTGCAAGTAGTAGAAAAATGTTGTGTTTAACTCTGAAATATGCTTTGCCTCATATTAGTATTTCTACTCTAGCTTTCTCTTGACTAGCGTAAGCATGGTGTATATTATTCCATTCTTTTATTTTAACCTGTTTGCATCTTTGTATTTAACTTGTGTTTCTTGAAGGCGATAGTTTTATTTCTCTGATAAAAACATATAAGAAGACAATCACATTAAATGTATATGGTCTAAAACCTCTGCTTTTTAATTGGGGGTATTTAGACCATGTACATTTAATGTGATTGTCTTCTTATATGTTTTCTATTTATCTCTATCTGTTCCTTGCATCATTTTTCTTGCATCCCCCACCTGCCAAGATGGGGTCTTACTCTGTCACCCAAGCTAGAGTGCAGTGGTGTGATCATACCTTACTGCAGCCTTGACCTGCTAGGCTCAAGTGATCTACCTCAGCCTCCCAATAGTGGAGACCACAGTTGTGCACCACCACACCTGGCTACTTTGTTTTATTTTTTTATATATGGGGTCTCACTATGTTGTCCAGGCTGGTCTCATACTCCTGAGCTCAAGTGAGTCTCCTGCCTTGGCCACCCAGAGTGCTGGGATTACAGGTGTGAGCCATTGCACCTGGTCTTCTTGGATTCTTTTACTTTATTTATTTATTTATTTATTTATTTATTTATTTTTTGAGATAGAGTCTCGCTCTGTTGCCAGGCTGGAGTGCAGTGGCGCTATCTCGGCTCACTGTAGTCTCCGCCTCCTGGGTTCAAGCGATTCTCCTGCCTCAGTCTCCTGAGTAGCTGGGATTACAGACGTGCACCACCACACCCAGCTAATTTTTGTATTTTTAGTAGAGACGGGGTTTCACCATGTTGGCCAGGATGGTCTCGATCTCCTGACCTTGTGATCCGCTTACCTTGGCCTCCCAAAGTGCTGGGATTACAGGCGTGAGCCACCGTGCCCAGCCTACATTATTTATTATGATTCCAGTTTGCCTCTTTTTATTACTTTTACCTGTTTTTAAAAATTATTTTTGTAGTTGCTTTAAGATTATAGTGTACATTTAGAGAGGTCTACCTTCAAGTAATATTGTACACTTCATCTATAATAAAAGCATTCCTTCATTTGCTTTCTTTTCCTCCCTCGTGCACTTTGTGCTATTGCTGCCATGCATTTGACTTTTATATATGTTATAAACTCTGTAATATTTTGCTGTCTTTTATTAAACATATATCTCTTAGAGATTTAAATAATAAAAAATTTAAAAGATGTTTGCTCATATAGTTACCACTGTGGTGCTCTTTATTCCTTCGTATTGATCCAGATTTTCATCTGACATCATTTTGTTTCTGGAGAATATCCTTTAACATTTCTTGCAGTGAAAGTCTCCTGGTGATGAATTATTTCATTATTTATGTTTCTGGTGTGCCTTTATTTCACCTTCATTTTTGAAAGATATTTTTGCCAGGCATGGAATTCTAGTTGGCCTTTTTTCTTCTAGAACTTTAGAGATGTACTGCTGTCTTCTCACTTGCATTGTTTCTCAAAAGAAATCTGATGTTGTTCTTATCTTTGTTCTTCTATAGGTAACATGTCTTTTTATACAGCTGCTATTAATAATATATCCCTGATTTTGAACAATTTGATTATGTTATCCCTTAATGTAATTTTCTTCATGTTTCTTGTGCTTGGGGTTTGCTGAGTTTCTTGGATCCGTGAGTTAATAGGTCTTTTTATGGCTAGAACATTTTCAGCAGTTGTTTCTTCAAGTATTTTTTTTCTCTTCCTCTTTTTTCTCCTTTGGGGACTCCAGTTACCTGCATATTATTAGGCTATTTGAAGTTGCCTGACTGCTCACTGATGCTTTTTAAAAATCACTTTTTAAGATTTTTTTTTTCTTTTTGTACTTTAGCTAGTGTCTGTTCTTGTATCTTCAAGTTTGCTAATCTTTTCTTCTGCAGTTTCTAATCTGCTTTAGTTCATCCAATGTAATTTTCATCTCAAATGTTTTTGTCTTTGAAAGTTTGATTTTGGCTTTTCTTGTTTATCTCCCATGTCTCTATTTAACTTTTTGATTATATGGGATACATGTATAAAAACAGTTGAATGTCCTCCTCTGCTAATTTTAACATCTATTTAAGTTCTGGGTCAGTTTTGATTGATTATTTTCAGTTTGCATCATGATTGTCTGCTGCTTTTTATGCCTGGTAATCTTTATTTAGTTGTAAAATTTACCTTGGGTTCTGGCTATTTTCTTTATTCTATAAATCTTCTTGAGCTTTGTTTTGAGATGTAGTTGAGTTACTTATAAACCGTTTCATTCTTTTGGGTTTTGTTTTTATGATTTATTAGACAGATATGAAGGAGTGCTTAGTCCAGGACTAATTATTCCTCACCACTGAGGCAAGACTTTCTGTGGACTCTGTTGAATGTTCCATGAATTAATAGTTTTCCCAGTTTGGCTAGTGGGAACAGATACTATTCCTGGCTTTGTATGAGTATCAGGCCCTGTTCCCTCCCATTGTTTCTGATGGTTCTTTTTCTGGATTCTCATAGTTTCCTCATATGCATATGCTGATCAGTTATCTGGTGAATGCTTGAGAGAAGATCTCTATAGACCTCTGGGGTTCTTTTCTATGCAACTGTCTCCTCTCAGCATTCTGTGCAGTTATTCCTTGCTGCTTTTTTCTCTCCTGGCTCTTAACTTTCTCTTTCCAACTCAGGAGTCAGCTGAGATTTGCCTCAGTTGCCACTCTCTATGCCATGGCCTGGAAACTCTTATCGTTGTGTGCTGGGGCATATGTAGGGCTCACCTCTTTTGTTTCTCATTTCTCAAAGCTCTACAGTCCTTTGTTGCCTGATGTTCACATAGCATATATATGTTCACATATATTCACGTCTTTCTTTCTTTCTCTCTCTCTCTCTCTCTCTCTCTCTCTCTCTCTCTCTGTCTTTCTTTCTTTCTTTCTTTCTTTCTTTCTTTCTTTCTTTCTTTCTTTCTTTCTTTTTCTTTCTTTCTTTCTTTTTAGTGGTGATGGGATTTCACCATGTTTGTCAGGCTGGTCTCAAACTCCTGACCTCAAGTGACGCACCTGTCTTAGCCTCTGAAAGTGCTGGGATTACAGGTGTGAGCCACCATGCCCTGCCATGTCTTCATTTTTTATGGTTGTTTCAGGAGGAGCGTAAATCCGATAATCCGGTCTCTGTGACTCCATCTTGGTCAGAATTAGAAGTATTATGCAAGTAACTAAGAAGTTTATTATTTCACAATAGAAAATTAGGAGTTAGGGTGATGGGTAGTTCAGTAGCTTCATGATAACAAGTTGTCAGGGTCTTAACATCTTTTCTTGGTGCATCCAGAACATATTGGTCTCTTTCTTGATCCAGTTCCTCTCATGAGCAAAAGATAGTGGGCAGGACCTCTAAGCATTGTACTCTCAGGATAGCATTCAGAGGCAGAAAGGAAAAAGGAACCTTTTTATTATTATGTTAATTAAGGAAAAATCCTTGCCAGATGCTTGTCCCATCCTAGCATATTTCTCTCTCTCTCTCTCTCTCTTTTTTTTTTTTTTGAGATGGAGTTTCGCCTTTCGCCCAGGCTGGATTGAAGTGGCGCGATCTCGGCTCACTGCAACCTCTGTCTCCCAGGTTCAAGTGATTCTCTTGCCTCAGCCTCTGGAGTAGCTGGGATTATAGGCACCCACCACCACGCCCGGTTAATTTTTGTATTTTTAGTAGGGATGGGATGGGGTTTCGCCATGTTGCCCAGGCTAGTCTTGAACTCCTGACCTCAGGTGACCCGCCCGCCTCAGCCTCCCAAAGTGCTAGGATTATAAGCGTGAGCCACCACGCCCTGCCCCTGGCATATTCCTCTTAACATTTTATTAGCTAGAATTACCTTGAGTGTTCATATCTTTTTTTTTTTTTTTTTTTTTTTGAGACGGAGTCTCGTTCTGTTGCCCAAGCTGGAGTGCAGTGGCGTGATCTCGGCTCACTGCCAGCTCTGTCTCCTGGGTTCACGCCATTCTCCTGCCTCAGCCTCCCGAGTAGCTGGGACTATAGGCACCCGCCACCATGCCCGGCTAATTTTTTTTGTATTTTTAGTAGAGACGGGGTTTCACCGTGTTAGCTAGGATGGTCTCGATCTCCTGACCTCGTGATCTGCCCGCCTCGGCCTCCCAAAGTGCTGGGATTACAGGCGTGAGCCACTGCGCCCAGCCGAGCGTTCATATCTTAAACCAATAACTGATAAAGAAGTTGAGACAGCCATGATGGCTTTCCTCTGAGGCTGGGGAGAGTATTTAGCCCCTCTGAAGCATGTTTCTGCTTAGAGCAGGGTGCGTATCTGAAAAAGTGGAAATCTGTAGGAAGGAAAAAGGGGGAATGGATATTTTATAGGCAATAAACAGTGTCTATTATTGGAAATATGTTTTAACTGAGGGAATCTGAAAATATTTTTAAAGAAGGAAAGATTTAAGGTGGTGCTTGGAGGATGGGTAAGTTTCAGTAGATTAACATAGGGATTCTAGACAGAGGGTCACCCTTTACAGGGTTTGAAACTATGAGGGTATATGGATTTTGGAAAAATGGCACATACGTAAGAATGACTGGAGAATAAGTAGGGTAGAGAATACTAGGGGACAGGAATGGAAAATTTCCTTGGCTTTGCATACCAAGATGAGGAATTTCAGTAATGTACCTTTTAAATAAGAAGAGCAGTATTAAATGATCTAAATTCCCCCAGCCCTTTGTAATTGAATTGGAAAAGGTTTACTTGAAGACAAACATATTTAGGATTACTGCTATAAATTAAAGGCCAATGAGTGTAAAATCTTGAGTTTAGGTATTATGTGTAAAACATAAAGATGAAATATTGTAATAGAATGCATAGTATTTGATTCTTTATAAATTAGATGGAGGAACTGCAGATGTCTTTTTTTTCAAGTCTAAGTATGTTGGAAGATCACAAGTTTTGTTTGGTTGTGCTGAGCCTGAAACCGTGTGAAATGGCTTTGACACTAAATGTCAGGGTAGGAATCATAGACAGTTTTCCTAACTAGCAGTGGTGGCAAATCAAACTGACTTTGGAGAACAAGAAGAGAAAAGAAGATGGAAGATTGATCCTTTGGTCAATGCTC
This sequence comes from Homo sapiens, assembly GCF_000001405.40. Lineage (NCBI taxonomy): Eukaryota > Metazoa > Chordata > Mammalia > Primates > Hominidae > Homo > Homo sapiens. The sequence continues at coordinate 152,294,866 of NC_000007.14, read as the reverse complement.
TGAGGAAGAACCAGTGAAAAGGTGGATGTTAACACAGAATAAGTTACAGGAAGTATAGTAGAAATTATAGTAGTTTGGATTAATAGATTTAAGGAGGTATGGTCAATAATCTCAAATGCCTCTCAAGTGTGTTTTTGTATTATAAGATTTTCTAAATAAAAGTTTCTAAATAAAACCTAATAATATTTATTTTTTAAGAGATAGAGTCTTCTATTTTGGGAGTGGCGGGTCCGGCAGAGAGGGATCTTGCTGTGTTGCTCATGCTGGAGTGCAGTGGCTATTCACACATGTAATGATAGTATACTGCAACTATGAACTCTAGCAATGTTTCCAGCTCAGCCTCCCACATAGCTGGGACTACAGGTACATGTCACCATACCTGGTCATAATTATTATTTTTAATGGGAAGCAATCGGGAGTCTTCACTTCTTAATCTGTCTCTGACATTGTTAGCTAATGTCAAGTGACTTCTTCCCCAGGTCATGTTACCTGTCAGTACTCAATCATCATGTACACAGTAAGAAATTGTTTTATCTTTTCACTCTGAAATGCAGGGATAGAAGGAAGGCATCAAAAAATTAACAATGGATTATTTCATCACAATGTTAAGTGCAAGGTGTCGGTACAGCAAGATAATCCTAGATATTTATTTGACCTTGGAATGCCGTTAGGCATATATCTACTTAAAAATTGATGTGGCTGGGCATAGTGGCTCACACCTGTAATCCCAGCACTTTGGGAGGCTGAGGCAGGCACATAACTTGAGCTACAAGTTCGAGACCAGCCTGGGCAATGTGACAAGACCCTGTCTTTTCACTAAAAGTACCAAAAAAAAAAAAAAAAAGGCAGGTGTGGTGGTGCACACCTGTAGTCTCAGCTACTCAAGAGGTTGAGGTGGGAGGGATGGCTTGAGCCCAGGATGCAGAGGTTGCAGTCAGCTGAGATTGCACCACTGCACTCCAGCCTGGGCAACAGAGCCAGACTTTGTCTCAAAAATGAATGAATGAGGGAATGAATGAATATGTTTATTTCCCGTCACCTTGACACCTTGACTCTGGAGCTAAGAGGAAGCTGAAAAATTTGTTTTAGAAAATTAAGAGTTTTGTATGCCTATTTAAAAACAGTTAAATTTTGGTAGGCCCATTCAATGAAGATGTCTCAATTTAATTTTAATCTTTCTTTTTAGTATTAAATAAGTTTAAAGAAATGAACTTACCTTTGTGATGAGGTGGGTGGTATTCTTTGGTATTGTAAAGGACCCCTTGAATGTAAAGTTTAGGGGAGGGGTGGAGAATAATATGAACTTACATCTGCATAAAATATCTTGTGAAGGATGCATAGGAAACTGGTAAAATTCTTTGCCTGTAGGAAACTTATTTTATATAGTTGTATACAAAGTGATTTTATACTGCATACCCTTTAGGAACTTTTGAACCATGGTAATGTTTTTATTTCAAAAATTAAAAACCTTTTAACAGTTTCTAACTTGTTTTGAAAATATACTTCAAAAACTTATTTCTCTAGTTGTGCACTATTGTGTGTTTTATCTATTTGAAATTGATTTGTGTATCATGTGATATAAGGGGTCCAGTATCATTTTTTCACACATGGACAGCCAATTGTTACTACACCATTTATTGAAACATCTTTTTCCTCCACATTTGAAATATAACCTATTATATAGCAAACGTTCAATGTATTTTAGATTGTTGGTAGGTTCTCTGTTTTATTCTTTGTGTATTTGAGAATCCCAGTGATATATCATGATGTCATTGTTACTGTAGCTTTATACTAAGTCTTTCTATTCGGTAGTATAAGTGTTATTTCCACCTCTTCCTATGGCAGAGATACTTGGTTTAGACTAGCCTTTCCACTGAGAACAATTAGAAAAGCTGTATAAAATGTTGTTTCAAATAAATATTTAAGGGATCAGAAAACTAGAAGAGTGGTGAGGACCTGAGGGAGTGAGAATTCAGAGGGTAAGGTTGTGCAGAGTTTGGCCTGACCTTAAATTTTCTTTTCCCCTTGAGTTAATTACTCAGTTCAAAAAAATCCAGCTGAGAGGTTGAAAAGCTGAGAAGCTTCTGGCAGTCTGCAGAGCTGGGAAGACAAAAAGGGAATTTAGGGGTCATTAAATGCTATAGAAGTTTATTTAGGACCCTGAAGGCTACAGAGGGGTGGATGGAGGTGTCAGCAAATGACAGCCTGTGGGGTCACATTCGGTCCTCCAGCTGTGTTTATGTGGGACATGAGCTAAAAATGTTTTTTACCTTTTAAAATGTCTGAAAAAAATTTAAAAGGGAATAATATTTTATGACACAGGAAATCATAACGACATTCAGGTATGAGTGTTTAAAACTAATGTTTTATGGGAACAAAACCACACCCATTTATTTGGGCATTATATATGACTTCTGTTGCACTACAGTGTCAGAGTTGGTTGCTGCAGAGAGCACATATATTTCAAATTGCTGCTCTGCATGCTACGAATCACAATGACATAGTTACAGTTTGTCAGTATGTGTGTGTGTGTGTGCGCGCCACACATATTGCCCTGGCATCTTATTTATTTCTCTCATTACCAGTGCATACCCACCTATCATGTTAAAACAAGAAAAGGAGAAAAGTGGACTTTATATGTAACACTTTAGAGGTATAGTGGAATGTATATTATTATTAACAAATTAGATAGCAAAGCATTATATTTATTATGCTAGAAGACTATGGCTGTGCTAAAAGAATATAATATATGTCAGCATTACCAGACTTGGCACTTCTCACAATATTCCCAGCCAACAGGAATAAAACTAAAAGGTCAGAAAAAAAAATAGTAAATTAAAACAAAATTTTATCACAGCAGAATTTCTTCTCAAAAACAAAAAATGGAAATTAGGCTATAATTAAAGTAAGTTTTTCAATGGCTTATTTGTTAGCCAAGCAAGGAAAACCATTACCAACAGTAGTTAATTAAATTATGTTTTATTAAGGTAAACAAAGATGTGTCCATAGAAAATAAACTTTAAAAAAGACTATTAGCCTTTCAGCGAGAGTAATTGCTCTAAAAGTTAAGGACGTTGGGAGTAATATCAAGTCATTTTGGAAAGAAGGGTGAATGATTTTTCATGGTTTTCTTAGGCTTTTGATGGATGAATAGGTGTTACCAGTACTGTTCAGTTGTTACATACTCCAGAAGTTAGTGCTGAGTTTGAAGTGATGGAAGAATTAGTGTTTATGCATAGTCTATGTGAAACAACTACAAGAGAAAATATTTTCAGAAAAGTTGAGCAAACACTAACTTAGTACAACCTGAAGTGGAATCCGCTAAGATGCGTTACAGTTGATAGTGGCAAAAATAACTGTGGAGCAGAAAGACTTGAGTTGGACAAATTTACAAAGCTTGTTAAATGTCAGGTGTTTAAAGCCTGATTATTTACTGTATTATTTATTAGCAGGTACTTTGCAGAAAATATTTAAATCTGTCATGTTTTAGTGAACTATTATATAATAGTGTCAGCAGTGATTTTGACTTGCATTTGTGGACTTCATCATCAAATCCTATGAATTTTTGTTAGATATAGAGGCAGAATATACTGAATTGCCATTCTACATAGCAATTTAGTGACTTGGCAGTGGTAAAGTTTTATTGCAGTTTTTTGCGCTGCGGAATGAGATTGAAATTTTTCTGAATAATAATGCCCTCAACTATTAAGTCAAATACTTAATAGCTTTGAAAGTTGGCTTTTCCTGTAGATTTCATAATATTTTGTAACAAATTCACCTAAAATTACAAGGCAGAACAGTGATTATAAGTGAACCTTATACTGTGGTAAGGTCACTTCTACAAGAATAATGAATCATGAAAATCAAGAGAAAGAACAAATAGTAGGAAAATGTCTTCCAATTCCTTTTAGCCCTTCATATTTCTACCTGAACTCATAAGCTTTTAAAAAGATAATTATTTTTATTTATATTTAAAAAGATAATATAGGATAATATTTTTGTAAAAGAGTTCTTGAGATACAGCACTGAATGTAAAGGAAAATATTGGAGCATTCAACTACATTTGAGAAATAACTTCTGTTTATTAAAAGATACTATAAGAATGAAAGCACAAGCCCTAATGAATATTCTTGTTTGATACTAAACCAAAGCTTGAGAAGTGGTAGTTTCGCAAGTTTTTCAAGTGGTTTGGTGCAATCTGAAGACTGCAATCCCATCAATGAACTTTATATCTTTACCCTTTAAAATTATAATTTATGGGCCGGGCGCAGTGGTTTACGCCTGTAATCCCAGCACTTCGGGAGGCTGAAGCGGGTGGATCACGAGGTCAGGAGCTCAAGACCAGCATGGCCAAGATTGTGAAACCCCGTCTCTACTAAAAATACAAAAATCAGCCGGGCATGGTAGCAGGCACCTGCAGTCCCATCTACGGGGGAGGCCGAGACAGAGAATCGCTTAAACCCAGGTGGTGGAGGTTGCAGTGAGCCGAGATTGTGCCACTGCACTCCAGCGTGGGTGACAGAGTGAGACTCCATCTCAGACAAAAAAAAAAAAAAAAAAAAAAAAAAAAAATATATATATATATATATATATATATATATATATATACACATACACACACACACACACACACACACACACACACATATATATATAAAATTTATTAGACTACCTTGCAATTTCAGGGGATCTTTTACCCATATATGATTTTATAAGATTACTAAGTGGTCTTTGGAAAATATTGGTTCACTGAGTGATCCAGATATTCCAACTATTGATACGGTTGTTTTTGTTTGTTTGTTTGTTTGTTTTGTTTTGTTTGTTTTGAGACAGAATCTCACTCTGTTGCCCAGGCTGGAATGCAGTGGTGCGATCTCAGCTCACTTCTGTCTCCTGGGTTCAAGTGATGCTCATGCCTCAGCCTCCTGAGTAGCTGGGACTATAGGCATGCACCGCCAGGCCCAGCTAATTTTCATATTTTTAGTAGAGATGGGGTTTCACTATGTTGGCTAGGCTGGTCTTGAACTCCTGGCCTCCAGTGATCCCAAAGTGCTGGGATTACAAGTGTGAGCCACCTTGCCTAGTCCTACACATTTTTAATAAATAACAAAATTCACATTTGTTATAATCCACTGATCTCATCAGAAAAGTCTTTAAGTATTGGAATTAGTTAAGCTTACATTGTTGGATATAAGTTTTTCAAATCTTCTTATTGTCCACTCATGTTCTAAGTTGTTTTCCTTGAAGTGACAGGCTCACTTTATTCCTTTTTTCAAGAAATATGTTAGATAATCAAGTTTTAATAATTGTGGTTTGTTATTTGTTCTTACATGTAAAACCGGTGTTCCATGAAAAAAGCATTTATTTCAGTTTATAAATCACATGATCACAAATTCTTTCCTCAAGAAAAACTATGGTGTAACAATTATTTTACTCTTTATTTCTCGTTTTGTCACATAGATAATTAAAAGATGTGTATTCATGGATCAAGACTTAAAACATTAATGATTTTTGCTGCTTCATCAGTGATATTCTCAATGATACTCTACATTATTTTTACTGTAGTTGTAGTGCCAATTGAGAATGTGACAACTTCTAATACAGCTTGGTGCCAACTGCTTTCAGTTTTGGAAATGCATCAACAGTTTTACCCACCATAGCTTTTGCATCGTGTAACAATTTTTGCTTCAATTGTTAAACATTATTTTGAAAACTCAAGGAACAGTAAAGTCTGTTTTATTGCCCATATTTTTACTATTTGTTTGTTCTTTCTTCCTTCAGGATGTTCTGAGAATCCTTCTTTTTATCATTCTCCTTTCTGGTTCAATAACTTTTCTCACTATTCTTTTGGTGTAGTTTTGTCTCATGACTAATTTTTAGTTCTCATTCATCTCACAATTTCTTGATTTCCCTTTCATTACTAATGGATGTTTTTGCTGGATATAGAATTCTTTGTTGTCAGTTCTTTTAGGACTTGCAAAAATGTTATGCTGCTTTGTTCTGGCCTCCATGGTTTCAGGTGAGAAATCTGCTGTCATTTGAGTTGTTTTTCATCTGTGGATAAGGTGTCATTTCTCTTATTTATCTCAGGGTTTTTTAGTTTAGTCATTAGTTTTCAGAAGTTTATGATATATATTAGCATTGATTTATTTGTGTGTATCCTCTTAGGATTTATTCAATTTCTTGAATCTGTGGGTCTTCGAATAATTGTTCAGCTGCGTCATGTTCCTTTTCTGAGATTCCAGTGACAGGAATGTTGCATCACTTATTATAGTCCCACAAGTGTCTTTAATGTCTTTTTTAAAAAAAAAATATTTATTTATTTATTTATTTATTGTCAGAGTTTTGCTCTTTTGCCCAGGCTGGAGTGAAGTGGTACGATCTCAGCTCACTGCAAACTCCGCCCCTGGGTCTAAGTGATTCTCCTGCCTCAGCCTCCTGAGTCGCTGGAATTATAGGTGTGTGCCACCATGCCCAGCTAATTTTTGTATTTTTAGTAGAGACAGGGTTTTGCCATGTTGGCCAGGCTGGTCTTGAACTCCTCACCTCAGGTGATCCACCCATCTCGGCCTCCCAAAATGCTAGGATTACAGGCCTGAGCGACCGCACCTGGCCACTTTTTTTTTTTTTTTTTTTTAAATCAGTTCATTTTCTTCTCTTGTTTAGGTTGGGTAATCTCTCCCATTTTGTTGTTCAGCTTAGTTTGTATTTTATTTTTGTTAGCATATTTTTTAGTTTTCAACTTGGTATTTGTTTCTTTCTTGATTTCTTTGCAAAACTTTGTATTGTTTCCTTTGTTTCAAAAGTATGTTTGTAATTGCTTTTTTTTTTTTTTTTTTTTTTTGAGGCAGACTCTTGCTCTGTTGCCCAGGTTGGAATGCAGTAAATGATCTCAGCTCACTGCAACCTCTGCTTCCTGGGTTTAAGTGATTCTCATGCCTCAGCCTCCTGAGTAGCTGGAATCACAGGCGTGCACCACCATGCCTGGCTAATTTTTGTATTTTTAGTAGAGATGGGGTTTCATGATGTTGGCCAGGCTGGTCTCGAACTCCTGACCTCAAGTGATCCAACCACCTCTGCCTCCCAAAGTGCTGGGATTGCAGGCGTGAGCCACTGTGTCCGGCTGTAATTGCTTGTTGAAGCAGTGTTATATAGTTTAAAATCTTTGATAGATAATTATGACATCTATGAATTCTCATTGTTTGCACCTTTTGACTATATTTTCAAATTCCTGTTCAGATTTTCCTGGTTCTTAGTATGGTATAACATGTTATATTTGGTTGAATCCTTTGCATTTTAAGTGTTGTGTTATGAAGCTCTGCATTTTATTTAAATACCCCCTTTTAGTAGGATTTATCTGAAACTTTGCTTTTGGGGTGGAGGTGGGGCACAGCCTTGTTACTACTCCCAGGTGTATGTGAAGATTCCAGTTCCTTAGTAGGCCTTTGTTGACTCATTGATGGAGACGTACACCTAGTAAATGCTGAGTAGGAGTGAAAACTCTGGACTTGCATTACACCTTTGTGAATACCACCCTGGCTCAAAAGGTTCCTGCTTTTCACTTGGCCTCCACTGAATGGGATGGAGGGGTGGTTAAGTTATCACTGGGCAGTGCTTTGAGTTTGGATTCTCCAATAGGCCTCTCCTGTCATATCTCTGTAGAGGGAGGGATAGGGATATGTCCTTATCACTGGGTGGGTGTTGAACTCAGGCTCCCCACTTTTTTTCCACCCACACTCTAGAGGGAGGAAGCCGCGTTACTGCTCAGTGGGTATGAATGTCCTGTGTCCCAGTTGGCCTGCTGTGGTATCATGTTGTCCGTGGGCAGGAGTGGGGAATGGCTGACTATGTCCTCCTTTTAAGTCTTTGCAAAAGGTATATGGCTTGGGCTTTTATTTGTACCATTTGGCTTAAACTGGTTTGTTGTTGTCTATGAGTTTTTTGTCTTGGTAGCCTGCCGCTTCCCTGCTTTTTTGACAAAAGACAGCAGAATTTTCTTGGAGTTTTACGTATGTGTGTGCCTGTTGGTGTTTCTGAGTTGTCTGCTTCTCTAGCAACTTTTCTTGTATATATGAGTCAGAAAGGAAACCTAGGGAATTCATCCTCTTTTGTTTCTTGGCTCCTGAAGCCCTAATTGGTCTGCCCTCTCTCTACATTTTGTTGTCTTCTTTTGTTTGTCTTATGTATCACGGCTAAGGGTTTTTAAAGCTGTATTTAGTGGAAAGAACAGGGAAAAGTACATTTTCTGCATTTTGTCTGGAAGTGGAAGTCTGCATTCATTTTTGCTGTTTTTCCCTGAATACAGAGTTCTGGGATGATTATGTTTTTCTTCTTCAAGCATTTAAAAGATGTTGCATTGTTTCCTGTCTTCCATGGTTTCTAATGAGAAGTCAGGTGTGGTGTCAGTAGTATCATTATTCCCATGTATATAATAATGTTTTGATATTCTCTGGCTGCTTTCAGGATTTTCTCTTTATCTTTGGTTTTCAGCAGTCTGACTATGATGTGCCTAGGTGTGGTTTTCTTTGTATTCATCCTGCTTGGGGGTTGCTGAGCTTCTTGAAACTGTAAGTTGATATTTTTCACCAAATTTGTGAAAAGCTTGACTTTTATTTCTTATTCTTTTTCTGTCTCATTTCTCTCTCCTCTTCCTCTGTAACTCTAATTACATGAATGTTAGTATATTTGATATTTTGTAGATTACTGAGGGTCTGTTCGTTTTCTTCCCAGTGTTTTTACTTTTAGTTCCTCAGAATAGATACACTATTCATGTATTTTCAAGGAGATGGACCAATTTTCTACCAATCTCTTGTTAAGCCCATCCACTAAAATTTTCATTGAAATTACCATACTTATTAGTTGTAGAATTTTCTTTTCTTTTCTTTTGAGACAGGGTCTTTGTCTCCCAGGCTGGAGTGCAATGGCGCGATCTCGGCTTACAGCCACCTCCACCTCCCAGGTTCAAGCGATTCTTGTGCCTCAGCCTCTCAAGTAGCTGGGATTATAGGTGCCCACCACCACACCCAGCTAATTTTTGTATTTTTAGTAGAGATGGGGTTTCGCCATGTTGGCTAGGCTGCTCTCAAAATCCTGGCCTTAGGTGGTCCACCTTCCTTGGCCTTCCAGAGTGCTGGGATTACAGGCAGGAGCCATCGCGCCCAGACTGAAACTCTATTTAAATATAGATTTTAGCCAATGATATTCTGCTTTTTTTCCAAGGGTATAATGTCCTCCCATTCCAGCCAGTTTTTGGTTATTTACAGGTAACTTCAATTAGTTAGCTTTTACGTTTTCTTCAGATTTGAGACATTTTAGGAAAGTTACTCTGATATTAGTCCCTATGCTGTTACCCAATAAATAAATAAATTTATGTGTGAGAGCCATTGTTTTGTTAAGGTATATTTTGCATACGCTATAATTCACCCTTTCTAAGGTGTGTATTGAATGTGATTTGGTAAATATGAACAGTCATGTAATTACCATCATAGTCAAGATACAGAATAGACCCTTTACCCATAAATTCACTCATGACCTTTTGAAGTTACTGCCTACCTCCCACTCCAGCTCCTGCCAATCACCGATCTGTTGCTTTCCTATAGTTTTGCCTTTTCTAGACTAATATATGAATGGAACCATACAGTATAGAATCTTTTCTGTCTGCCTTTTTTTACTTAGCATAATGGTTTTGAGATTGGTCCATTCACTAGCTTACAGTTAAGTTTCGTTCAATTTTTGGCCAGTATATAAAGCTGCTGTGAGCATTTATGTAACATGCTTCGTTGTGGATGTATCTTTTCATGTTTCTTGGGTAAATACCTAGGACTGGAATTTCTGACTTGTTGGAAATATATTCTTAACTTTGGAAAACAGTTTCACAGTTTCTTAAGTGTCTGTATACTTCTCCGTTTCTAGAGATCTGAGAGTTCCATTTGCTGTACATTGTTGCCAGCACTGGATATTGCCACTGTTTCTAAATTTTAGCCATCTGGTTGGCATTTAGTGATAATTTATTGTGGGTTTGATTTTGCATTCCCTGATGATTAATTAGATTGAGCCTCTTTTTATGTCTTTTTTTGCCATTTGTGTATCTTTGGTGACATGTCTGTTATTTTGTCTCTACCATTTTTTTCCAATTGATTTACTTGTCATCTTCTTGAGTTGTAAGAGTTTTTTTATATATTATTCACAGAAGTCAGTTTTGGAGATGCATTTTATAAATATTTTTGCCTAATGTGTGACTTGTTTTCATTTATTTAGCAATGTTTATTGAACAGCAGAGGGTTTAATTTTGATGACATTGGTCATTTGTTAATTTTTTGGAAGTTGAAAAAATTATGCTGTTTATGCTTTATTAAAAAATCTTTGCTTGCCCCAGTGTTAGTTGTAGGTTTAAAAAATCCATTTATGGTTAAATTACACATATGATAAAAGAATTTGAGATAAGATTCATGTTTCTTTGTTTTCCATACGGATTATTTAGCAGTTCCAGCATCATTCTAAAAGACTATTTATTGCTCTCTTGGATTATCTTGGCCCCTTGGTCAAAAATTAATTGAATATGGAAAAGTGAGTCTATTTCTGTATTTTCTGTTTTTCTGACTTATTTGTCTCTCCTTTTACCAAAACCAAACATAAAGATTTTTTTTCAAAATCATGAGTTGATATTTATGTTTTCAGTTTAATTCAATAGCACAATTACATATCTTTAAAACAGTTTTATACCTGTAGCTAAGCTATAGTTGTATATTTTCTTTTAATATCATCTTTCCTATAACTGAAAAAGTCATTAAAAGAAGAAAAGATTATTGTTTTTGTTTCAATTTCAAAGTAATCAAAACTAAGTGTACTAGTATTAAATAGTTAAAGCTAGTAGATCAATAAGGAAATTTAATGTTATTGCTTTTTTCTATCTTTTTTTGAGTTTACTAGTGATGTAAAAGATTTGAGTTATTTGCTGTGATTATATAAATACTCTTTTGATGCATAATTCAGCAGTTAACATCATGTTAATTTGTGGCATTAGTAATTTTACTGATAGCCCTTCTGTGATTCTGATTTTTGGTAGTGGTTTTTACCTGGTAAGTAGCATTTTATCAGTTGGCAGGTACTGGAAATCTGCTTTATCACTTCTTTTTTAAGAAAAGTGGAAAACACAAACAGTTTGTTCACCAAAGTTATGTTTCAAGGATTCCATTCAACCAGAATCTGGTTCACCTTATTGACTCACCTTGGGGGTATATGTACTAGATTTTTACATACATCTGTTTGGAGAAACTCGTTTTATCTGTGTAATGTTTGTAAGACCAGAAGTTCTTTTACTGTTCTTGAAATAAAACTTTTAAGAAGCTGAGTATTCTTCTGTTAGTTTCAAATTTGGACTAAAATTACACCCAGGTTTTGGACTAAAGAGAAAGCAAATAATCTGTTCTCATGTTCTTAAAAGACATGATTTAAGTGTATCCAACTAACTTGATTCTTACTGTGTCTGTGTTTACTCCTACTAAAATGAAAGCTTTTAAATTTTTTCCCACTTTTTGAAGTATTTAACTCTTCTGTAATAGGCAGTGTTTTCTTATTAACTTTAAAGTTGTGTTAAGCAAACGTGTTTAAATTAATATTTCAATTTCAAAAACCCTAATTTGAAACAATAAATTTTATCATTGTATACATTATGAGCTTTTAAGAATAACCAAAAAAATGGGGGTGGATGTTTTATGTGGAAGTTATGTGTATCCCTTTTCTGCTTTTGGCTAAGGACAGATATCTTAGAATTAGCTTTATGGCGCATTCATCTATCTGATTATTTCAGTTAATATCATCTTAATATAATACAGGTTACTTGAGAAGAAAACAAACTCTTAACCCACTATTGGAGAGATACCAGGTAGGATACTAACCTTGATATAGAATTTCATGTGAGAAAGAAAAAGGAAAATATTTTCCATTAAAAGTTGAGTTTTTATCTAAAATTCTCTTAATTTTCTAGAAAAAACTTAATTTTTCTAAAAATATGTTGAAGAATTATATATAAAATTCACTTTGCTATATATATAGCAAGTGAATAATAGGTACACATTTCTAGGAATACCCCAAATATTAGAACGTATATACTAAAATCACATCAGGAAACAAATAATAGCGCCCCAGAAATTCCATTCAGCCTCCTGTTGGTTACTATTCCTAACTCCCCAAAGACATGCACTATCATCTAGTAACAACATAGGTGAGTCTTGCCTATGTTTGTACTTTGTGTAATTGGCTTTGTACTTTGTATAATTGGCTACTAAGTACTGTTTTCTGTCATCTTTCATGTATATATTTGTGAGATAAATCCAAATTGTTCCTTCCAGTCGTTTATTTTTCTCATTGATGTATAGTATTCTGTTGTTAAGAGTACTATAATTTATTTATTTTACCGTTGGGCATTTTGAGGACTTTCAATTTGAGGTCATTATGAATTGTGTTCTATGAACATTGCAGTACATTTCTTTTGGTTGACACTGAGAGTATTTTATGGATTCTAACCCCAAAGTGGCTACTTTCTTTTCTTTCTTTCTTTTTTTTTTTTTTGAGACAAGGTCCAGCTCTGTCACCCAGGCTGGAGTGCAGTGGCGCAATCTTGGCTCACTGCAGCCTCCACCTCTTGGGTTCAAGCGATTCTCCTGCCTCAGTCTCTCGAGTAGCTAGGATTACAGGCGTGCACCACCACGCCTGGCTAATTTTTGTATTTTTTTTTTGGTAGAAATGGGGTTTCACCATGTTGGCCAGGTTGGTCTCGAACTCCTGGTCTCAAGTGATCCGCCTGCCTTGGCCTCCCAAAGTGCTGGGATTACATGCACGAGCCACCGTGCCTGTCCATATGTTATTTTCTTACAACCTAAATAAAAACCATTACGTAAACAAGACAAAGTACTTAGTACATTTCCATAGTCGATGAATTTGTCTTTATTACTTGTATATAACTAATTATGAACTCCTTGAGTTCAGTTCCTTTCATTTCCTGACTCATTGGGCTTGAACAAGGATATTTAACCTCTCTGCTTCATTTGTAAAATGAAAAATAGTAATATCTACCTGAAATGGTGGTGGTTAGATGGGAATAAAGTAATTTCTTTTTTTTTTTGTTTTTGTTTTTGAGATGGAGTCTCACTCTGTTGCCCAGGCTGGAGTGCAGTGGCGCGATCTTGGCTCACTGCAACCTCTACCTCCTGGGTTCAACTGATTCTCCTGCCTCAGCCTTCCAAGTAGCTGGGATTACAGGCGCCTGCCACCAGGCCCAGCTAATTTTTGTATTTTTAATAGAAACGGGGTCTCACCATGTTGGCCAGGATGGTCTCAAACTCCTGACCTCAGGTGATCCACCTACCTCTGCCTTCCAAAGTGTTGGGATTACATGCGTGAGCCACTGTGCCTGGCGTAGATGGGAATAAAGTAATTCTTATAAAGTACTTGGCTTAGCTGCTGGCAAATAATAATGCTTACTGATTCTTGCATATTACCCATAGTTTATTGGCTAACTTATGTCTTCCTTAAATTATGAAATTCTATAAACTATCCTTGTCTATTTTAAAATTATACTCATTTTTATAACTTACATGCTTTATTTGTATATATCCAGGATACTAGATATTTGTAATTCAAATTGGAGGTTATTTTTTGTCACTTGATTTTTTTTCTGTAATGTGTGTTCTCACCACATAGAAGTTTTTACATTTCTATGTAGTCAGATTTATTCATGTTTTTATTTATGGTTATGTTAAAGATTATAGCTATTAGGGACCTATTTCTTCAGGGTTTATAATTTATGTATGTTGTTACAAATAGAGAGATTACTTTTTCTTTGACCCAATAGGTAGAGGGCACTTTTGTGGACTCAGAAAGCTTGCCTCTCCTATTTTTTTAGGAAAATATCTGAGATTCTGCCTCCTCATTTCCAAGCCAGAGTTTAAAATATTTACATTTTTACTTCATAGTGTTAAGACATTGTGTAATGTAAGTATAATGTTTAAAAAAAAATCTTAAAAATGTAATAGTGATTTGGCAGAGACCAAAGCATGGAGGGCCTTGAAATGCTGCTCTGTTTGTTATCTGTTACAATAAAGCAATTACCATAAACTTAATATCTTAAAACAGCATCCATTTACTTAGGTCAGAACTCAGGGTAGGCTCACCTGTGCTCTCTGTTTAAGGTCTCACAAGATTCAAATCAAGGTGTTACCTGGGTGGAAGCTCTGGGGGTGAATCCTCTTCTAGGTGCATTCAGGTGTGGGAGGAATTCAGTTCTATGCAGTTGTAGGGCTGAGCTCGCCATTTTCTTTCTTTCTTTCTTGATCTGCCGCCCAGGCTGGAGTGCAGTGGTGCAGTCTCGGCTCACTGCAACCTCTGCCTCCCGGGTTCAAGTGATTCTCGTGCCTCAGCCTCCCAGGTGGCCGGGATTACAGGCGTGCGCCACCACGCCGGCTAATTTTTTTTTTTTATTTTTATTTTTAGTAGAGACGGGGTTTTACCGTGTTAGCCAGGATGGTCTTGATCTCATGACCTCGTGATCCGCCTGCCTTGGCCTTCCAAAGTGCTGGGATTACAGGCATGAGCCACCGCACCCTGCTGAGCTCACCATTTTCTTACTGCCTATTGGCTTGGGTCACTCTCAGTTCCTAGAGGCCACTCTTTGGTTTTTCCTCGTGGCTCTTTTTATCTTCAAAGATAGCAACAGTGTATTGAAATGTTCCCTTGCTATGAATTTCCCTTTTGCTACTAGCTGGAGAAAACTCCGCTTTCAAAGAGGTTATTTGATTAGATTAGGCAAATCTCCCTTTTGATTAATTCAAAGGCAGTTGATTGGTGGCTTTAATCACATCTGCAGAATTCCTTTGCCATATAATATATTAATGGCATTATCCTTGCCATGATATTTCATCATATTTACAGCCTCTGTATTAGGGTAGGAAATTTGGTGGGGTCGGTGGTATGCGGGCATTTTAGAATACTGCCTACCACACATTCTGTATTGAGGGGTTTGCGTGTGATTCAGAATATATTTGTATTCCTTCAGAAAGATTACTGTGGCAGCAGGGAGGAGAATGTGGCAGAAAGGAAAGGTACTGGCAGGAGAAAAATCCCACTCTTAGCAGTCTCCATTTTGATTTTGTAATGTCGTTTGATGTTATTTTTTTTAGCAGATGTTTCAATCAGAAATGTGTGTTTAATAGTATGCCAACTAGAATGATTAGCCTGGACCAGAACAAGAGTTATGAGTCAGTCAATGAACTGTTCATTACTTCAGGTCAATTCATATACAGAATAATTTCATAGATTAGGTTTTATTTCAGTCAGCTTTATTTCATTTTCTAAAGTGAACAGTTGTTTAAACCTCGGATCTCATTAACAGCATTTTAATAAACACAGTATTAGGGTGGGTTTACTTCCCTAGATTGTGAATCTCATGGATTATATGTTGATTCTTATTGGCTTAATTTTTGAATTGGGCATTATTTATTTTAATTCTTTAGTCTTATAGTTTTGCATGTTTGAAGCTATATGTTTTCCTCTGAAGACCACATTTGCCACGTCTCAGAGATTTTTTTGATGTTTCTTAATCATTTAAAAATAATACATGATTTTTCTTCTTGATTGAAACTCTGCCGTTATATAGAAAGGACTTTTAAATTTTGCCAGTGGATAGATTTGGGACTTTATCCTTATATTGTGAATTTCTAATTTTTATTGTATTAGGTCTAGGGACACATCTGCTTTTACTGAATATAACCTAGGAAATACCTGCTTTTTAAAATATGTGGACATTTCTTTACGACCATACATGTGGATTTTTTTTTGAAAATTCTATGTATATTTGAATAGAATGTTTTCTCTATTTTTGGAATACAGAGATCTGTGTGTATTTTATGTGTCTGTTTGAATCAAACCCGATCATTGTTATTATTTATTTCATATCTACTTAATATCCTGATTTGAGAGCTATGTTAAAGTCTAATCTATGCATGTTATTTCTACTCAGCTTTACTTTTTATATGTGACATATATTTATTAGGTGTATAAACTTTAATGACTATGGCTTCTTTTGGAATTTACACTGTAACATAAAACTTAGGTTATTATGAAATATTATCTTTGACTTGTTCACTGCTTTTTAGTTTAAATTCTATTTCTTTGCAATTATTGCTATACCTGCATTTTTTGGTTAGCGTTTGTGTTTTTTCCCCTCAAGTCTGTTTTTGAATTGTGTATGTCACTGTGCATTGTGCATATATATAGCTGCTCCTGTGTTGCTGTAAAGAAATACCTGTTGCTGGGTAATTGATAACAAAAAGAGGTTTAATTGGCTCACGATTCTGCAGACAGTACAGGAAGTGTGGTGCTGGCATCTGCTTCTGGTGAGGGCTTCAAGAAGTTTGAAATCATTTAGCCAGGCGCGGTGGCAGGTGCCTGTAATCCCAGCTACTTGGGAGACTGAGGCAGGAGAATCGCTTGAACCTGCGGGGCAGAGGTTGCAGTGAGCCGAGATCAGGCCACTGCACTCCAGCCTGGGCAACAGAGTGAAACTCTGTCTCAAAAAAATAAATATAAATTAAAAAAAAAAAGTTTGAAATCATGGTTGAAGGAGAAGGGGGAGCAGGCATCTCACATAGCCAGAACAGGAGCAAAGGAGAGGGGTGGAGATGCCATACACTTTTGAACAGCCAGATCTTGTGAGAACTCACTCGTTATCGCAAGGACAGCACCAAGCCATGAGGGATTTGCCCCCATGACCCAAACACCTCCCATAAGGCCCCACCTCCAACATTGGGGATTACATTTCAACATGAAATTTTGGCGGGGACAAATATCCAAAGTATTTCATTTATTTCATATTATATATGTGTACACACACACACATACATAAATGAAGTCTGTAGTAATATGTAAAATATGTATATGTGTTATGTAGTATATTTTGCATGTTTTGAAAGTTGCTATCTTTTACTAGAGAATTTAACCTATTTACATTTGTTATCCATGGACTTGAATGTTAGCTTAACAGACATTAAAATTTTGGTTTTAAATAATTTTTTATAGGCCTAGAAAAATAATGATTTTTTTTGGGTTTCTTTTTAATTCAGTATTGATAATGAGAACTGATGCCCGATTCTTCTTTTTTTGTAATGATCTGTTTTCTTTTTTATGTGGCTCCAAGAATTTTCCTTTTATCCTTGTTATTTCAAAGTTTCTGGGAAGTTTTTACCTGAAGCTGCCATTCAGGGAGTTTAAGGAGACATTGTTACAGATCAAGAGTGGGTATTTTTGTAAGGATATAGAAATAAGTGGAACAGTGATAATGACTCTTTCGGTTTTAGGTTCCTCATCTGTTGAATGAGGATTATGCTTAATTAAATGTTAGCTTTTATTATTAGATATTTACATAACTTTTCCTTTAGAATTTTGGTGATTATAATCCCTCCCATTTTCTCCCATTCTGGTACTCATATAAAACAGACATTGCACCTTCTGGATCAGATTTTCATGTCATTCTACCTCTTTCTCTTACTTTCCATCTTTGTTCTTTATTACTGCATCCTGGGAGAATCCTAGTTGCCTAATACTAAAAAAAGACTGGTGAAGATTAAAAACAAATTTGGAGCATGGGGAGCCTTATAATACTTATTTATTAGAGCACGTAGCCTAAAACCATTGCTATAGTTGGTACAGAATAAATACTGGATAATTAATTAAATGAACTGTGGAATATTTAACTTCTTGGTATTTTTTTATGATACAACTTTAATCTCAAATTTTGTTCATTCTGTTTTGTTTTATGGATACATTTTGACAGATTATTTCAAACTATTAAATAAAAGTCTTGAAAATTCCTCAGACTCATTCTTAAAATTGGTAATACGAGTTCTCACTGAGTTTTTGTTGTTGTTGTTATTGTGTTCTTGGATTAATATGGGAAAATATTATTATAACATGTTACTTTTTTCCTTTTCTTACTCCCTGTCTTTTTAATGATGAATAAAAGTAAAAAGAAAAAATGCTGTCTAGGAATTTTCATTATTGATTCAAATAAACCATTTAGTTGATACACCATTTAAGGGCCTTTTTTTTTTTGAATTTTATAGACTGGTTCTCACTTTTGTTTCCCAGGCTAGAGTGCAGTAGCGTGATCACAGCTCACTGCAGCCTCAACCTCCTGGGCTCAAGCAGTTTTCCCACCCCAGGCTCGTGAGTAGCTGGGACTATAGGTGCATGCCACCATGCCCACCTAATTATTGTATTTTTTGTAGAGATGGAGTTTCACCATGTTGCCCAGGCTGGTTTCTAACTCCTGAGCTCAAATGATCCACCTGCCTCAGCCTCCCAAAGTGCTGGGATTAAAAGCATGAGCCACCATGCCCGGCCAAGAGCTGTTTACTTTATCCCTCCTCCCCAAATGTTAATTAGCTTCGTAATTGTTACTTATGTATTATATATTACTTATTGTATTATTAATATTTTAACTTGCTTGATTTCTTTTATGTGTAGTGTATAAGAGTGTTGACATTTGAGAAGTTCCCTGTGGAAATCCATTCTTTGATATTGTCTACGATTTTACAAGTACTTTTTACTTGGTTTAGGAAGATACATTCCAGACTGTGTATATATAGTAAACATTTTCTTTTAATGCCGAGTGCTCTTCATTAGCTATTTAATTGTAACAGATGGGTTTGAAGCGTTCTCCTAAATGTAGTGTTTTATTTTCCTTCTTTTATTCACTGATATCTTTATATGATATTGTAAATTAGTATGTTAGATATATTCCAGTACTTCTCATAGTAGTTTAGCTAATATAATATTTTTCATTGCAGATATGATTAAGAGAACATATTGGTGTTTCTAAAATGAGAAAGACATTGAGAAGCTGGTCAATTTAAATTACTTTCTGTTATTATATACTTACCTCTCATTATATTTTATCTGCCAAGATTATTTTTAGTGTAAAAGGCTTCTGCAAAACTTGCCATATGGTATCAAAATAAGCGATTTTAGATTTTAACAATTTAGCAGAAATTAGTTATGTTAATGAGTTGTTATAAACATTTTTCAACAGATTGATTGTACTTTTCCTTTCGACATTTACGTGGTCTTTCTATTCAGACATTTAGACTACCGAGGTGTTGTATTTGTAGTTAATTCTGGGTTCTGTTAATGCACTAAACATATTTAGATACCTTGGGAGTTATAAAAAATTACCTGTTTTGTAAAAGCTGGTTATTACACTTTATCAATGAAGAAAAATATTTATTTTCTGTGTTTCTAATGCATTAATACCCTTGAGTGCCAAAATAGCACTGAAATGTTATTCTGTATACTTATAATATTATATAAAATTAAAGTGTCACAACAGTAATTACTGTTTATGAGTTATTTAGAAGCTTCTCCTGCTTCAGCCTCCCAAGTAGCTGGGACTACAGGCGCCCGCCACCACGTCTGGCTAATTTTTTGTATTTTTAGTAGAGATGGAGTTTCACTGTGTTAGCCAGGATGGTCTCGATCTCCTGACCTCGTGATCCACCCGCCTTGGCCTTCCAAAGTGCCGGGATTACAGGTGTGAGCCACCCGGCCCAGCCAAATTTTTGTATCTCTTTCTTTTCTTCTTTCTGATTCAGCCCTCAGGAGTCACTTAGCTTTGTTATGTTGATTCAGTGCAGTAGACTGATGACAGTGAGGAAGAGTTTGATAGTATGTGATATACAGATTTACACATAAAACATTGAAAACAATTATAATTTTAACTACTGTAGTCCCTGGTTAATTAGCAGAATATAAAGTCAGTGTAGTAACATGTGAAGATATCCACAGTAATGTTAGCAGGGTCCAACTGTCTGTGTTACATGAGGCTCCAGTTATCTCAGCTAAGCTGTTTATGAGCCACACTCACAAAAAAGATCACCAAAAGTTAAGTCTTTTTGGTATATGTATAGGAACACCTTTCTATTAGGGCCTGTTTCAAGCAGCATTTTTGGTGCTTTGGATACAAAGATAGTATGGTGCCTCAATTGAAGGATCTTGGACTAGGATGAGGAAAAGATAAACTGATCATGTAATGGCATAAGCAAGTAAGTACCATGTAATGGTGTAAACAAAAATTTATGTTAGATAGTCATTTCCCACAGAGAGATGTCATACTGTATAGTACAGGGCCCATCAAACTCTCTTCAAAGAAAATGATGCTCAAAGTGGACTTGGGAGAATGAGGAAGAGTTTGTGAATCATTCTAAGGGAAAACTGAATAAGTAAATGCAACATTTTACATAATTTCTTCTGACTTCTTATGTGTTCACTTGCCCTAGACTGCCCCTCTTGTTTGGGGCTTATTTCTGTGCGTTTTACCACTTGCAAGATAATGGAGGCAGGTTGAAATGGGAAAGATACCAGATGACTAATTTTTTTTCGCCCACATTTCCATCTTTTGTTAAGAAATTTGAAGTTGATTGCTACATTGAAGTATGTAGTTTTGTGTTTTTTTCTGTGAGTCTTTAACCATTTGTGTCCCTGTTAACTTACAATTGATGAGTTTATTTTGTATTTATTTTTAGGCAGGGTAAAAAATAGTAATATGTCTCATAAATAAAATATATGTTCCTATTACTAGTTTTGGTGGGATTTAAAAACTTTATAATAATCCTCAATATAGAAACCTGCCCTTTTAACCATATTACTATTTGCTTTAAAAAAAAATCTTTAGGTTTTGTTTCAAAAATGCTTCAAAATTTATTTTTGAAAATATAAGGAATGAAATTCTAACTTTCTAATTTGAATGGAAGGATGAGTTGGTAGCACACGAAGCGCTAAATTGAGTAATGTAGATTTTATTATTTTTAACGAATCCTTTGTTTAATATTTTGCAGGTTCAATTTGTTTTACTTGTGATATACAGAGAGTTTTTTATACCTTCCCAGCTTATATTTGAATATTCCTTTTCAAGGTTTTATAAAGAGATTTCTCTCCTTTACCCCTTTCAGCGATGTGCATTTTGTAAGCACCTTGGAGCCACTATCAAATGCTGTGAAGAGAAATGTACCCAGATGTATCATTATCCTTGTGCTGCAGGAGCCGGCACCTTTCAGGATTTCAGTCACATCTTCCTGCTTTGTCCAGAACACATTGACCAAGCTCCTGAAAGATGTAAGTTTACTACGGATAGACTTTTAAACTTCAACCAATGTATTTACTGAAAATAACAAATGTTGTAAATTCCCTGAGTGTTATTCTACTTGTATTAAAAGGTAATAATACATAATCTTTAAAATCTGAGGGATCGTTGCCAGGGATCGCTGGGGAGGGAAATGTTATCAGTGGTTTCATTGAAATTAAATCCAAAAAGTTATTTCCTCAGAAAAATCAAATAAAGTTTGCATGGTTTTTATTCTTAAAACATTTTAAAAACCACTGTAGAAAGATGTAAATAGGGACTATGCAGTATTTCTGATTTATACTATAAAATAATTTATTAAAAAGTCAATCAACACTAAAAAGCCATCCAGTTGAAGAATTAGAAGACAGTTCACTCAGGTGTTATTTCAGGATTTACGTTAATAAGAACACCAAAGACTTCTGAAATTCTTAGAAATTGTGTTTCCCTGATAGGTATAATAGAAATCTCTGCTAGTACCTTTTCATGATTCATCTATCTTAGTCTTCTGTAATCTGCAGTTGTGCTGTTTTTCTTTTCCAAATAGTATTTTATAATTCAATGAAAATGTTTAAATGCGTGAAATTTACATTATACAGGAAATTATAACTCTTTACTATTGTATCATTAAATAGAGATCTCTCCTTTTTCTTACTATGTGTTTTCCCTATGAGCATATATGTTTTGGGATCTTTTTTCTCCTAGTCTATTGAATTTCCAATCTCATTATGAAACCTCCATGATATTTTATTCAATCTTTTTTATGTCACCTCTTAGTTACCTAATGTTAGCTTTTATCTGTTCCTTAGCAATGTTAATAAAAGCTTTTTTCCTATCTTCTCCAGGTCTGTGAAACGTAAGTATAGCTACCCCAGGCTTAAACTAATCTCAAATACAGTTAGTCTACATGATCATTACCCTTTTCTTTGTTGAGTACCATAATTTCATTTTCCATTAAAATTATTTTGTGTCCACATATGTAATCATATCACCATTAGTAACCTAGTGTACAAATTATAGGTAAGGCAAACTAGAATTTTAAATTATATTTAGGCTAATAAGGGATTTAAAGTTTTAAAATGCGTTAGATTGTACACTCTTCAATCTGGAAGAGAAGAACTTCATGCACTGCAACTGTTACGGCTACTATTTATGTACTGAGTTACTTCAGCAAGTGCATAAACTGGCAGTTATCAGAGTGGATTATATTCTGGGTGGCATAATAAATATACTTTGTCATCTCAATAAAACAATTTTGTGTGTATATAGGAATCTGAATTTTATTCAGCCTTTTGTAGTTAATCATGCTTTAGACCTCAGCAAACAACATGCAAACTTTTACAAGAATGTTGTTGTAGTGTTAGAATATTTTATTACTTAATGGCAGTGCTACTTTCTACTGAAAACTGTGTTCTAACAGTGTATACCTTCAGTTACATGTTAGCAATCATAAATCAGTTTGTAAAATAATAAATACTGAGGTGAGATAATATGCTGTTGTTGATCATGTATATAATGAAAGGTTTATGGCAACATAAAGCTAAAAGATACACTAAAATTATGAGTACTCTGCCTTTTTCCAAAATAGACTTATGGAGACTCATAAAAATACATGAGCAATAGGATAAAACTAAAGTAAGGAAATTTGGCAATGGAAAATTTAGATAGGATAAATATGAAGGTAATAGAGAGACCCCCCCCAAAAATATATAACTCCAGACGTAACCACAAATTTGGCCCCATACCTTTTCAGCAGTCAATACAAAGAAGGAAATATGAGCCCTTAATCTGATTCTTACTATTTATAACAAGACGTCACTTGATATAATGATATAATAATAACAAGACATCACTTGATACAATGCAATGAAAAATTATCTTAAAGTAGCCACCTTGCAGTAGAAAAATATCAGTTTCATAGGGCTGTTTCTTATAGCAGCCTTCAAACTAAGTCGGTGGTGTAAAATCAAGGCCTAAATGACTAAATTAGATTTCTTTGGGGTTTTTTTTTTTTTTTTTTTTTTGAGATGGAGTCTCGCACTGTCACTCTGGCTGGAATGCAGTGGCATGGCCTTGGCTCACTGCAAACTCCGCCTTCCAGGTTCATGCGATTTCTCCTGCCTCAGCCTCCCAAGTAGCTGGGATTACAGGCGCATACCATCACACCCGGCTAATTTTTTGTATTTTTAGTAGAGACAGGGTTTCACTGTGTTGGCTAGATTCGTCTCGAACTCCTGACCTCGTGATCTGCCCGTCTCAGCCTCCCAAAGTGCTGGGATACAGAGGTGTGAGCCATCGTGCCCGGCCTCCTTGGGGATCTTAAGCAGTGCATTCTAACTACACAGCGTTCTGACCCATCTGTTAAGACGATCATAATCTTGGATTAAGTACCAAGGATATAATTTAAAGAATATTGCAGATAGGATGTTTTGTCACCTTTTTAACATGTTTTATAAATATTTTTTCCTATCCTAATTGTGTGTCATGGCAGAAGTTAATTTTTATGCTTTTAAAATGATACTGTCTTAAATCATAGTGTTATTATGAGGGTTAAATGAAAACAATGAATGGAATTCACATAACATTGTGCCTTGTATGTATTAATTGCTTTAAAAAGGGTAGTTATTTTACCTCCTATCTAAGGATTAAGTTATGAGAATGATAATACATATTGAGTATATGTATTTTCTGTTGCTTCCTAAGGGGCAGAGCAGTAGCTGTGATAGTTGACTGAGTTAGGAGTAAGGTTGACATCTTTTTATAAAAGTTGAGAAATTTAACAAAAGCATGCATCTCATTATAAAGAAATTCACTAAAGAGAGTATCTGTGAAGAAGGCCAAGATTTTCTTCAGGAAACACTTTTAGGGTGCTCTGTCATAGGTAAATGGCTGGTCATTGTTGCAACATTATTTTCATGATGATACAAGGATACATTAACCTTGTCTGGAAATTTTACCCTAAAAATCCATCTAGTAGATACAACCAGATATACTTCCTGAATAGGAAAACTGAATGGCACAAAGCCAATCATGCAAGATAAGAGGAAAGAACATTCCAGGGAGAGGGAACAGACCACTACACAGACCTTGAGGAATGGATTTGGCATGATTCATGAACAGGCAGCATGTCATTTTACTTGGAGCATAGTAGCCTACTAGGTGGGTAGTAGAGACATCATCAAGGCGAACAAAGGCTAGATCATGTAGGCCTTGTAAGCAAGGGAAGGAGTTTGGGTTCTATTCGGTCTGCAATGAGAAGTCTTTGCAAGGTTTAAACATGGAAATGCTACATATCCTAATTCACCCCCTGTTCCTCAATGTATTTACTCATCATTTAGCTTTAATTCCTTTTACTTCACTTAAGCTTTAACTCCAGCCTCTTTTCTTTGGTTATCTTTGTATTTCTTGACATTAAGTCCTGTTGCTTTTCTTTTACCCTAAATTCTGTCAGTCCTCTGACCTTTCTTATCTACCTGCCAATGATACGGTCTAGCCTCTTTGGATGACATCCATGATTTATTTTTTCTTCCCAGAGATTCTCTTTTATAGACAAATCACTCAGCACAGTGTCCTGCCAGTGATGAAAATTGGCAGATGATAGGGTGTGATGGAAATTAGAAAGCAATGCTGATTTGGTCCTTCTTAAATTCACACTGTATGACAGCTATTTTGACTTTTGTTGCTGTTCACCAATGCTTTTATTCTTATGTGTTGTCTGGATTTTCTTAAGTAATAGTTTCATCAGGTTTAAGGATCTGTGATAAGCTCTGTTCTAATTTAAGCTCAATGTTTTTGTCTTTTTTATTTATCTCTTCTCTTTTTACGGCTGTCTTTTAGGAAATGACCTTCTCTAAAGATGATCATTTTGTTTCCTCTCACTTTTCTCCTGCCATAAGAACCTTGCTCCCTTTACTTCATTTAGCTTCATCTTATGCCACTGTTGGCATTTCATGTCTACTTTTGTGTATACTCAAATACTCATCACTTTCATTGATCAGTAGTAAAGTTTGCTGAGGAGTCAATTTGATTAGTAGTCAAGAGCCTGATCTTAGAATCCAAATAGACCTGGAATTTACTCCTCTGCCCTTTTAAATTATCTTTAGTTATA
Source organism: Homo sapiens (assembly GCF_000001405.40). Taxonomy (NCBI): domain Eukaryota; kingdom Metazoa; phylum Chordata; class Mammalia; order Primates; family Hominidae; genus Homo; species Homo sapiens. Next base: position 152,269,589 of record NC_000007.14, on the reverse strand, counting down.
GCCTGTCTTTGCTTTTTCAACTGTTTAAAGAAAAATTTCTTAGTTGATTATTGCTTTAAACTTAGTGTCTCTGGCTTACAGACATGTGTGTCTAAATATTCATATTTAATTTCTGTCATGACACCAAAGCTATCCAGTAGTATCGATAATCTTGTACATGACCTCCAAAAGGTTGTTTCAGTATTCCCACACATCTTCTCCCTGACTGGGAGGGTTGGAACCAACCTCATTTCTTTGTGTAGTGCTTTTAAAAATTATTGTGTTTCACATAAGGCATATTAAGTGTTTTTGCACCAGATGTATGTATTACATGGATGTTTTTCTTTGACTAATTTATTACCAATGATCCATAGTAATCAAAGAACACAGCAAGGTTATCAGTAAGGAATTGGTGGAAATCATCATAGTCTAAAAAGTGATTTTTGTGACAATGACAGTTGTCTTGTTGCAGAGCGAACTTTGTTGTGTATAACAGTGCTGTGCAGTATAAATACAATGTGAGCAACATAAGTAATTTTTCTAGTGGGTATGTTAAAAATTTGAGTAAAAGGAAACATTGGGAATAATTGTAGTAAATTTTATTTAATTCAGTAATCCAAAATAGTAATATCTCAAATTTTGAGATACTTTTTCTCCTGTTAAGATTTTGGAATCCAGTGTGCATTTTATGCTTACTGCACACCTCGATTTGAACTAATTACATTTCACTTGTTTGGAAACCACATGTCGCTAGTAGCTACCATGGCAACTTGAAGTGTCAGGGGAGCAAACTCTAGAAAGTTTCACAGAAGCATTTTAGTGTTCCTAGGAAAGTATAATAGAAAAATGAATTGTTTATCTGATAATTAGTTTATTATTTCCCCCAATTTTTAAAAGTTTTACGGTGAGCAAAAAGATCAATTTTTAAATGTACATATTTTGAAAGATAAATACTGGTACTGTCTTAAGAAACATAACATCCCAGTTATGTCCTTTCTATCAAAAATGAACTAATTTATGATGCTTCCATTGTTAGATTAATGATTTATTTTAAATGCCTATCACTTAAAGAGCCATTTAAAAGTGATTTTAGCAGTAAGTCCTTCACTTAAAATATGTTCAATAAGACTTGATTCATGTTAGGCAGTTGGGGATACAAAGTTAAAAAAGTTAAGGCCCCTGTCCTTCAAGGATTCACAGAGTTGTGCTGTAATTAATTGATTATGTAACAGAAGTTTCTTGTAAGCATATGGGTAAAAGTAATATTCAACAACTAAAGGTATTTGGGTGTGGTAATAGGTATTCAGGAAATAATGTGCAGAGTTTTTTTTTGAGACAGGGTCTCACTCTGTCCCCCAGGCTGGAGTGCAGTGGCGCAAACTCCAGTCACAGCAGCCTCCACCTCCCGAGTTCAAGCGATTCTCCTGCCTCAGCCTCCTGAGTAGCTGGGACTACAGGCATGTGCCACCACACCCTGCTAATTTTGTATTTTTAGTAGAGATGGGGTTTCACCATGTTGGCCCGGCTGGTCTCGAGCTCCTGACCTCAAGTGATCCATCTGCTTTGGCCTCCCAGAGTGCTGGGATTACAGGCGTGAGTGTCTGTGCCCAGCCATGAGCAGAGTTTTGAAGGCTGGGAGCACAGCAGAAAAACAAAATTTCAAGCAGAGGGAACAGAATGTGTAAAAGCACACAGACATGAATAGCATGTTATGTGAGGTGCATGGCAGACAACCCACCATGACCACGAGATAGTGAGTGGTTCTGAGATTCAGTTGGAAAGGGAGATAAGGGCCTTTTTGCCTCATACTTGAAAATTCTGATTTTCTTTTAGGTGAAAAATGAGGTATTGGTGGAGTTTTAATTTATACAGAGGTTAACAATTAGATTTACATTTTTGAAAGATTGTTCTGGATGTGCAGAAAATGATTTAGACAGGATGTCAGAACCATAAGTAGAGATGATTTGATGCAGAAGATACTGCAGTTAGCGAGACAGAGTATTAGGTAGGTACAAAGGTAATTGCAGTCTTCGCCATTAAAAGTAATGTCAAAAACTGCAGTTACTTTTGCACCAACCTAATATGATAGACTAAACTATAAACATACAAGGAAGAATGATGTGTAGGAAGTTTAATACATAAGAATTGGGATCTGGCTGGATGTGTTGGGTCAGGGCTGAGTTCAGAGTGAACAGTGATACTAAGGTTTCTGCCTTTATCTATTCTTGAGAAAAATGGATGATGTTTCGGGTTTTTAAAAAAGTTTCACTTTAGAGCAGTTGAGATTGAGTGTTTTTAGAACATCTGGCTATTGAGATCCAGTAAGACTTGAAGAATAAAGGTTTGGGGTTTATGAAAGAATTCTAGGGCCAATAATACAGATTTAGGAATCATGGTGGCATTTTATGGCATGAGAGTTGATGTGATCACAAAGGGAAACTATGGGGGATTAGGAAAGAAGGAAAAGGATGAAATCCTAAGAAACTCCAGCATTTAGAAAGATTGTATAGGTACAAAAGCCAACAAAGGAGGATGAGATGAAAGTAAGGGAAAACTAAGGAGAAATTAGGAGAGAGTTGCCATGATAGAAACTAAGGAAAGGGGCGTTTTAATGTGGGAGTGGCTAGCAATGCAAATGCTACAAAGTGCAAAAAGCCAAAGACTAAAAAGTAACAATCGGGTTTCCTATGGGCATTGGCAACCTCACTAATGTAGCTTCAGATGAGTATTAGGTGCTAAGCCAGCCTTCATGAAGTACGTCAGAGGTCCAGCCAGCGTCCACATTTTGAAGCCTGTTTTTGTACTGCCCTCAAGCGAGGAATTATTTTTACATTTTTAAAAGAGTGCAAATAAAAACAAAAAGTCTGACTTTTTGTCAGAGACTGCTATGGCTCACAAAGCCTAAAATATTTACTATCTGGCCCTTTTCAGGAAAAGTTTGCAGACTCCGGTACAAATAAAAGAAATATATTTTTACTCTGTTTCAAGATGCTTGACTGGAAAAGAAAGAACGTGTGAGTCAGAGAGAAATTGATAGGATTGACCAAACCTTCAAAATGGAAAAAAGGCTGAGTGTGGTAGCTCACACCTGTAATCCCAGCACTTTGGGAGGTTGAGGCAGGAGGATTGCTTGAGCTCAGGAGTTTGAGACCAGCCTGGGCAATGTGGCGAAACACCGTCTCTACTGAAAATATAAAAATTAGATGGGCATGGTGGCACACGCCTGTAAGCCCAGCTACTGGGGAGGCTGAGGCATGAGAATCCCTTGAACCTGGGAGGCGGAGGTTACAGTAAGCCGAGATCGTGCCATTGCACTCTAGCCTAGGTGACAGAGTGAAACTCTGTCTCAAAAAAAAAGGAAAAAAAAAAGGTTCATATACTTTGTGATACTTGTTAAATACAGGCATATTTATATATATTATCTAAGGTTGGTATGATAGGCTTGACTGGAAAAGAAAGAACGTATGAGTCAGAATAGTAGATAGGAATGATCAAACCTTCAAAAAATGAAAAGATTCATATACTTTGTGATACTTGTTATATACAGGCATATTTTTTATACATTATCTAAGATTGGTATGATTTTAGAATACATTATTTTCCTTATTTTGCAGTATGCATAAGTTTAACTGTATATTTGGCAGGGCAGTTTATCCTTATATTTTCTGTTTTATATGGTAAAAGAACTGTTAGTACATTTTCTTTTAATCCACATTTAGGGATGGATGATGTCCATAATTATGTGGATTTTAATGCTTTTACAACTAGAAATTAATATAGATGAATATATAATTAGTATATTAAGTAATGTGTTTGTGTATGAATATGTAGCTTCTGTCTTTAATGTTCTTCCACATAAGGCATTTTCCAGTAATTAAAAAAAAGCCCTTATATGATTTGAATAGTCTGTTTATGCTTAAGAAGCATCTTAGTCTAATTGATATTAATGTTTCTTAATTTTGTCTCTTATCTGATTTTGTAATTTCAAAATATATTTAACATTCAAAGAAAATGTTTATGTTACACTGCAAAGCATTTCTTAATTTGTATTTTCCTTGTTTGGTTCTTTCCAGTAAGCATATATTGAGCATTAATTAGGTATCCAGCATTATCATTGGCATTAGGAATAGAAAATTAAAGAAGACCTGCTTATGGTCTCAAGTAGATATAGCCACAAATAATTGCAAAACTATACGATTAAATTTAATGTGGTTACATTTAGATTAAATACCCTACAGTGTTTTTATTGGTACCTCTTTCTGATTAGATGACAATTCAATGTGAATAACTTCAAATGTCTGAAAGGTTCATGATGCAAATCCTTTCAAATGATTTTACTGTATAGTCAGAAAAAATTTAAATTCTTATACAACAATTTCATTGTTTCACTGTTAATTATAGCGAAGGAAGATGCAAACTGTGCAGTGTGCGACAGCCCGGGAGACCTCTTAGATCAGTTCTTTTGTACTACTTGTGGTCAGCACTATCATGGAATGTGCCTGGATATAGCGGTTACTCCATTAAAACGTGCAGGTTGGCAATGTCCTGAGTGCAAAGTGTGCCAGAACTGCAAGTAAGTTTTCATTTCAATTCAAAGCTGTGTATTGGGTTTAAGAGGGACCCTATTACTAGGTGCTAAAGGTTTGTGTAATATAATAGAGGTTGTTCATATTTTAGCTATATTCATTCAGTGACTTCATCATACTTAAAAAAATTACTGGATATTATAACATTTATCCAGTATATATCCATAATATAATTTGTTATTATATTATAATATAAATAACATTTATATAATTTTGAAAGAAGTCTAAACAAAACTGATTTTAATCATTTAAATTGCTCTGGTCGTCTAAAGAGCTAATTTAAATTTGCCAACAATTTAAAAAATAAGCGATATTAACAATTTAAAACAAACAGAAGAATAAAGTAGTTTTTCTTAAGGGGTACTGGGGAGGAGATTTAATAGGATTTAAACGTCTAACTACAGAAGTAGAAGAATTAGAGTTGAGCCAAAAAATCAGTCATGTGTTTGAATTTCCATTCCAGGAAGGACAATTTCTACTATTATTTTAATGTACATCTGCATCTCTCTAAAAGCCACCTTGAGTAGATCCTGGTCAGCATAATTCCAAAACGAAATATGTGGCATTTACAAATTTGTAAGGGGGTTATATTTTCCTATGGTATTTCATCTCTTGGTCATTTCTCCAGTCTTTTCTGTGATTTCCGCTTGCACCCCCATGATTCTAATGAGCATGATAATTTGGGGATGTTACCAGTATCTTCATTTACAGGCTGAGAATTTTTGTTGTAACCAGCAAGAATTATGCCCAACTGCCATGATCAGTCTGTTTTTATTATTTAGTTTGATAAGAAATAAACGTCAGTATCTTAGAGTTACGTGACATAAATAGGACTATGTACCTCCATATTTTGGTAAAAATTAGATAAAATATTCAGTAAACATTTATTCGATACCTTATATCTGCGCTCAGTTTCTTGGGAAGGATTAAAAGAACTTGAAGGAAGAGTACTTGTCCTCCAAGATCTTTCCACGTAGCTGAGGAGATAAAACGTGACTTTTTATGGAGAGGCTGAACTGAATAATAATTGGAGGCTAACTGACCCATCTTCCTGTTGACATCTATTTATCCCCCAGATTTCATTCAGAGATTCCTCTCTCAGCTCTTCTTGCTTTCCCTGTTGTTTCTTTTCCCCTCCTCTTGAATTTAAAATCATAGTATCTGAAAGTGATTATAGTCAAAAATCTCAACAGAGATAAAGCTGTAGGACAGGGGCCCAATCTTTGGGGGCAGAAGAGTGTTTAGAGAAAGATTTTAGGTTTTCAACTATAATTCTTAATAATTATGACAAGGTTCGTATTTTGAAATAATTATTCAGCATTTAATTGCTTAATAGACATTCTAAGCACTTGAACCCGCATTACCTTTAATTCTCGCAGTAATCTTTATTATTCCCATTTTATACCTGGAACTCAGAGAGCTTTAGTCTAAGTTGTTTAGTGACACAGCTAGAAAACAGCAGCCTGAATACAAATAGAGATCTGATGCCAAATTTGATCCTCTTTACGTTATACGACAGTGTCTTTTCAATTCGCTGTGCCAAGATTTGTTCCTTTCCACACAGTAGCACCTATCAGTTATAGCACCTTCCTCTCAAAAATTCTATTTTAAAAGTAAAGATCAGAGGCTATTCATCTTGCCTTAACCCTTCCTCCTTTGCAGGAATCCTAAAATGGCTAGAGCAAGTTAACCATAGGTGAGCATTGAGTAAAGATCACCATTTAGGAGGTAATCCTTATGGCAGGGTTACCTCTGTTACTATCTGCAGAGACAAAACAGATACTGAGGTATTTATGAACTGTGCAGTTCCCAGGACTGATTATTTTCATGATTACTTATGTTACAAAACATAAGTTTAAAGATAAGGCATCATTAATGCTATCTTATTTTTTAGACAATCGGGAGAAGATAGCAAGATGCTAGTGTGTGATACGTGTGACAAAGGGTATCATACTTTTTGTCTTCAACCAGTTATGAAATCAGTACCAACCAATGGCTGGAAATGCAAAGTAAGTTGTTTATTTATTTATTTTTTTAAATCCTCTCTATGTTTTATATGGAGACCAGACAAATCGGATACCTATTCAAATCTGTACATCATCACCATCAGCTTTTTAAAAACAGCTTTATTGACATATAACTGACATATAATAAACTGTACACTCTTCAAGATAATGAACATAGTCATCACCCTCAAAAGTTTCCTGGTGCCTCTTGGCTTGCTTTGTGGCTGTTCAAACCCAAACTCTGTCTTCCTAGTCTGCTTTTTCACTATAGATTAGTATTCACTTCCTAGAATTTTTAATAAAAGCTTCATATACTATATACTCGTTTTTGGTCTGGCTTCTTTAACTCAGTGTAATTATTTTGAAATTCATCCATATTGCTGCACAGATCAGTAGTGATTCTTTTTTATTACTGAGTGCTGGAGATACCACAATTTGTGTATTGAATCACCTGTTGGTGAACATTTGGGTCCTTCAAAATTTTGAGCTATTACAAAAAATGCCGATGAGCTCATTAACTAACTTCCTACCTCACTTGGCTTCTGCCCCTTCAGGGTGAGGCGTTCAGAGCCGGGTTGGGGGCAGTGGGGTAGTGGAGATAGCCCTTGGAATCCAAGGTGCGGTTTAGCTTTTAAGCTTAGTCTTCCTGGGCTGCTGGTGTTGCGAGGTTGAGGGATGGAGATGACCCTCAGGTGCTGCATGGGCCTGGAGCGGGTTTTTCCTGGAGCTGGAGAGGGCATGATGGCCCGTGTGCGGGAGTGGAAGGCACAGCATTGTCATTGCTCTTCTTGGAACTGCTTTTTCTAGTGAGGAGGTGGAGGGCCTGGGAAAGGAGGGTGATGTGGCCAGAACCCCAGGTCCCCAGCTGGGGGAGGAGGTGGAGCAGACGCAGGGAGATTCTGTACCTGCACCCTGTCCTCGCCAGTGAGGTTTGGCACCTAGAACTGCAAGCAGTATTACCAGGTTCTTTTGTGGTCTTCAGCAAGTCCTATTAGGCATCTGCCTGAGTGGTGGGGGTTGAGGGGAGGGGCTTTCTCTCCTGGGGGGAAAAAGAGCTGCTGGGTAACTGTGCTCAGCTGTGGCTACCTGGGAAGTGGGGTCTGAGGGCTGAAGGATTGTGATGAACTCTGGCCTGCTTCCTCAGGTAGTTCAGATTCCTTCTCTTGCTGAATGACTTATCATTGGAAAGGAAAAACTCTGCTATTTGACTGATTTGTATATTTACACTCTTATCTTCACTCAGTTCCTCTACTTGCCTTTTTATTTTTAATATGAAGTTGAATTTGTAATTCATTTTCTTTCCTTTCCTAAGGAAAAAGGACATTTAAGACTATAAGTTTACCTTCGGCTGTAGCTTTGGCTGAAGCCAAATTTATTGTATTTGTAACTTTATGTATGTATATACCTTACCGAATATCTTTATCTTTTTTTTAAGTTGTGCTGAAGTATGTTAATTTATGCTTTCATTTCATTTAATCAGATAATTTAACTAAGGTAGGTTTTTTAAAATAAATGTGTTGATACTTGTAGTGACTTTTTAAAGGTGTAGCATTTGTGTTTATTAATTTCATTTAGTTAGATGAAGTCCTTTTACCTTATTTTTTGACTTGTTGATTCAACAAGTTGTTACAATTGACCACTATTAATTGTTCCTATCAATTTATCATATTTTTAAACAAATACCTTGTGGCTGTTATTTAGCAAGTAGGTCACGCCAGTGTTAATATATTGTGCTTTTTACCAGTATGAAATTGTTCTTTATTCTATGTAATGTGTTTTTTGTTGAGGGATCAGGAAGGGCAGGTATTTTGCTTTGCCTGACACTATGGCCACGTAGGGTGTTAGTTTAACAGTTGAATGGTTATCTTTTCACATCTTTTTATTTTGGATTCTTTTGTGTTATAAAAATGTTATCTTTTGAAAAGCTTAATAGAGGTAACTGTTTGGATTGATGGTTGTAATTGAAATGCTTGGCTGTTTTGAGGCAAAATTGTTCTTATAATTCCTTTCTACTTTTCTCTTCTTTTACTTCCTGCAATGATTTATAATTCAGAATCTCATTTTGTGAATGTAAATGATTATAAATGTTAAAGATATAAAATTTCTCCCATTCCCCACTGAAAATGAAGTTTTTATTCCCCTTTTCTCTGTTTGATTTGATTAACCTAGATTATAAACCTTGTCACAATTTTCTTTCAAAAATATATTTCCTCTGTTAATTCCAACTTTACCCTCAATCTTTCGGAGTCTTGGTTATGTTCCTTTAAAAATAATTATAAATTTTCTGAAACCCTACATGTCTGAAAGAGACTGTTCCCTTTAGGCTATAAGAACTTGGCACAGTATAATGTTTCATATTACAAATTTTTCTTTCTTATACTCTGAAAACATTTTCTTCAGTTTTTTCAGTTTATGCTGTCACAAGAAAAATCTTAACTTTAAAAAATTTAATCATAATCCTTTTTTTCTTCCTGAAAGCTTTGGGAGATGTGTGAGTCCCCATCCCCCACGCCACCCCAGCACCTTTTTAAAAAAATATATTTACTTAAAAAATTACCTTCTTTACACTCTCTAATAATATCTAGTAACTACTGGATAATTTTTGTTCTTGCTCTTGATCTTCTTTATTAGGGTTTTCATTATCTTGAGAACTGGTAGAGAATTCTGGGTGTCTTTCTCAGCTTGTTCTGTCTCCCCTTTGGTGTGCTTCTTTCTAATTTGCTCTTTGTAATCTGCTATTCTCTTTTGAGAGTGACAGAATTACATAATTTCTGGGAATACTATTGGATACTTAATCTTTTTATCCTGTTCTATGAAGGGACTATAGTGTGGTGGTTCAAAGCTTATGCTGTGGAGTCAAAATGCAGTTTTTTCAGTTACTAAATTGATGATCTTTGGCTACCTGTTTAACTTCCCTAAGTCAGTGTATAGAAGGTTAACGGTACTTACCTCACAGGGATGTTGGATTTAATGAAGTGGTATCTATAAAGTGCCCAGCACAATGCCTAACACAAAGTAAGTACAGAAATAGTTACCAGAGTTTTTCATGGATTGAAAGGTTTGTCCTTTGAACCATTTGAAGAGTGATCATCTTTCTCTGCTGTTAAATTCTTCTGTAGTTCTCTCTGTAGTCTTGAGTCATAATTTGCTCATTTGTTTGCATTTAACTTTTGAGTGTTTACTGTGTGTGAAACTGTAGTGAAGGCTGGAGATGTTGGGACAAATCAGTGTGCCCCCACAGGGCTGTCAGTCTAGTTTGGGGCTGCTCCCTGGTGAGCTGGAGTGGGGGTAATCTTTTCAGGATCTTTATTGTAAACCAGTCATTGTCAGATAGGTTTCTTTTTCCTATTTTTATCTCAAGAATGTCTGTTTGTTGGTATGTTATGTGTTTTTAGAAAGTTTTTACTTGAAAATAAGTTCAAACTCTAAAAGTTGGAGAAAATAAAAATAATACCCATGTCGCATTTACTTAGATTTATCAGTTGTTAGCATTTCATTGTCACTGGGCATGCCCTCTCTTGCTTTCTCTGTGTGTGTGTGTGTGTGTGTGTGTGTGTGTGTGTGTGTGTGTGCGCGTGTGTGTGTCTGTGTTTTTGTCTCTATTCCCCCTAACCCCCTACTATTTGAGGGTTAATTACATACGTTGTGCCTTTTTACCACCATTTCAGTATGTATTTCTTAATAGTAGGAATATTCTTAAAAAATCACAATCCTGCTATCAACTTCCTAAACTTACATCAATGTAGTATGTTTATCTAATGTACTAGCCATATTCCAGTTATGTCATTTGATCTTATGTCCTTCATAACCTACCCCTTCCTCCAAGTAGGTTCTAGGATTTAGTTTTTGTCATTGGTATTTTTGAAGAATAGAGTTCTTCTCGATATACTTGTTTTTTTCTTTTTTTCAAACAAATTTCCCCATTTTGTCTTTGATATCCCCTTATAATTAGATGAGAGGCATGCATTATTGGCCAGAATACTGCAAAGTACTGATCCATCCTCAGGGTATCACAGCTGGAAGCACACATTATTCCACTTTCCCTCATGGGAATCACCTGGTCAGGCTGTTGTCCAATTTCTTTTCCCCCTCCTTTGTATCTAATAAAGCAGTATGTAAGGACACTTTAAGACCATGCAAATATCTTGCTTTTCCTCAGAATTTCCTTCTAGATTTGAAAAACTTACTCCCTAGGCTGGGTGTGGTGGCTCATGCCTATAATCTTAGCACTTTGGGAGGCTGAAGCGGGTGGATCAGTTGAGGTCAGGAGTTCGAGATCAGCCTGGCCAACATGGTGAAACCCTGTCTGTAATAAAAATACAAAAATTAGCCAGGCATGATAGTGGGTGCCATGTAATCCCAGCTACTCAGGATGCCGAGACAGGAGAATTGCTTGAACCCGGGAGGCAGAGGTTGCAGTGAGCCGAACTCATGCTACTACACTCCAGCCTGGGTGACAGAGATAGACTCTGTCTCAAAAACAACAACAACAACAACAGCAACAACAACAACAACAACAAACTTACTGCCTGATGATGCCATTTTAACCTGCTTTGTTTTGGTTGCAAATGATGCATTTCCAGCTCTAGCACTCCCACCGCATTTACCAGTTAGCCCTCTGCTTTCTTTTGTAAGCAAGAACACTTCTTTCACATGTTAAACTTACTTATTAATACTGACTCATGAGCTCCTATTATCTTCAATCATTTACAACTCATTACCTAATTATTTTTTGGCTGAAATAGTCCCATACTTGCTGTCAGTTGCTCCTTCAAGCTGGCGCTGGTGTTGTGCCCTCACCACTTACTTGAACACTTCATACTTTTTGGTGTAACAAGATGTTACAAGCTCATCTTATACCTCCTGTGCCCCAGCCCTGGAATAAGTCCATTGTTAAATAAGTAACCCAGATTCCTTTAGTGGGGAATGGGTGCTGGGTGTGCTCATTGCTACTGAAGGGTGTTTGCTTCTTCATCCTTTCAGCAGGTGGTGTCAGGAAATACATGCGTGTGTATACACTTACAGAAGTTTGTCCAACCCATGACCCGCAGGCTACATGTGGTCCAGGATGGCTTTGAATGTGGCCCAACAGAAATTCATAAAATTTCTTAAAACATTATGAGGTGTTTTTTTTGTGTGTGTGTGTGTGTGTGCGTGTGTGTGTAGCTCATCGGCTATCGTTAGTGTTAGTGTATCTTGTGTGTGGCCCAAGACAATTCTTCTTCTTTCAGTGTGGTCCAGGGAAGCCAAAACATTGAACACCCCTACACTTAACGTATATACACATAAATATTCATATACATATGCATAACTTAGAAATAATGAATTTACACCAGTACCTCCAGTTCTTGTCCTTCTCCACTGAATTCTTTGCCTTCTCATTCTTGCATGTCTGTTCTTCTACAATAAAAATTCTGGGTTGTAGCAACATCAGCACATTTATTCAGTTGCTCAATCTAAAAAGCAAGTCTGCTTCAGTTTGCTCTCAGTAATAGATTTTATTCCCCTTTCTTTTCTTAGTGATTTAATTTTTTAAATATAGAAGATATTAGTATACTTTCAAAACTCAATACTATATGAAGTTTTACTCAGAATTGTCACTGCCTCTTGTTTATTATTTATACTCCATTTCTCCCAACCTCTTGGAAGTAACTAACTTCATTGTTTTCTGTTTTAAACCTCCTGTTATTTTTCGTCTAAGAATAAGAAGATATATTGCTCTTATTTTCAGTGAAGGTAGCATGTTGTGTATGTTCTTTTGCATGTTGCTTTTTTCGTGTAATAAAATCTGGAAATCACTTCCAGGCAAGTTAGGCAAGTTCAAGAGATCTCATTCTCCTTTTAAACAGCTGCATAGCACTCCATTGTGTATCTGTGCTATGGGTTACTCAACCAATGGCCTGTGCTTTGGTATTTCAGTAGTTTACGATATTTTGCATTATAAATGATTTTACACTCCCTAGCTTTGTGCATGTGTGTTTTTGAATTCTCAGGGACAAATCTGTAGGGTAAATTCCTAGAAGTAGGATTATTGCCTCAGGAGTGTACACATATGTAGCTTTGTTAGATACTGTCAGATTCCCTTTCTTGGGGCTTATGGTACTTTGCATTGCCACCAGAGATGTGTGAGAGAACTTTTCTTACGTCTTTGCTAACAGGATGACTTGTTCAGCTTTTGAATGTTTGTCTGTCTTCTGGGCGAAAAGTGGTGTATCAATGTAGTTTTAATTTTTGTTTATCCTGAGTGAAGTTGATCGTTTTTTCATGTGTTTAAGGGTCAGTTTTAATTTCTTCTCGTGAATTGTCTGTTCATGTGTTTTGCCTGTTATTGAAGATTTTGGCATTTTCCCCTAAATTTAAGAGTTCTTTATAAGTTAGGGATGTAAGCTTTTATCTGTGTTACATGATGCAGATACTTTCTGCCAGCTTATTTGTTCTTGTTTTTTTTGCTTATTTGTGTGAGACAGTGTCTCACTCCATCACCCCGGCCATAGTACAGTGGTATGGTCATAGTTCACTGTAGCCTTGACCTGGGCTCAAGCAGTCTTCCTGCCTCAGCCTCCCGAGTTAGCTAGGAGTTATGTGTACCACCAAGCCCAGCTAATTTTTTACTTTTGTAGAGACAGGGTCTCACTATGTTGTCCAGGCTGTATTATGTGTCTTTTGACTTTGTTTTTATTATTTTTTTTTTGCCATGCAAAAGTTTCTTTCTTATGGAGTTAGATTTATTAATCTTCTTTTGCTTCTGGATTTTTGAGTCATATTCAGAAAGCCTTTCCCTACACTGAGGGTATAGAGGAGTTCATATTTTCTGCTAGGATTTGCAGTTTTTATGTTTATTTTATTTTTGAGATAGAGTTTCACTCTGTCGCTCAGGCTGGAGTGCAGTGGCTCAATCTTGGGTCATTGCAACCTCCCCCTCGCGGGTTCAAGTGATTCTCATGTCTTAGCTCCCCCAAGTAGCTGGGATTACAGGCATGCGCCACCACGCCCAGCTAATTTTTGTATTTTTAGTAGAGATAGGGTTTTGCCATGTTGGCCAGGCTGGTGTTGAACTCCTGGCCTCAATTGATCTGCCTGCCTCGGCCTCCCAAAGTGCTGGGATTGCAGTTGTGAGCCACCATGTATGGCTTGCATTGTTTTATTTTTTACATTTAAATCTCTGATCTATTTGGAGTTGATGTTTGTGTATGATGTGAGTATCTTTTTCCAACTGGCTATTCAGTTTTCTAAAAACCATTCATTAAAAAGACTGTCTTTGCCCTAGTGACTTGAGATTCCAGACTACAATGTTAGATTTGATTGAACTTATATCTGGAACCTCTTTTCCATTCCATCGATCTGTCTATTCATTCACCAGTACGACACTGTTTTTGTTATAGAGCCTTTGTAGTATCTGGTAATGTTGGGCCCCTTCAGAACTTATCCATTTCACAGGTTTCTTATCTGTGCTTGTGTATTTGTTTTTCTGTATAAACTTTAGGATCACCATATGTAGCCCCAATAAAAACCTCATTGGAATTTTTATTGGAATCACATTTAATTTATTGAGTGTCTGGGTGCAGTGGCTCACACCTGTAATCCCAGCACTTTGGGAGGCCAAGGCAGGGGTGTTGCTTGAGCTCAGGAGTTTGAGACAAACCTGGGCAATATGGTGAAACTGCCTCTCTACAAATACAAAAAAATTAGCCAGGTGTAGTGGCACACGCCTATAGTCCCAGTTACTCAGAAGGCTGAGGTGAGAGGATCACTTGAGCCCAGGAGTTCGAGGCTGCAGTGAGCCATGATCATGCTACTGTATTCCAGCCTGGGCTACAGAGCAAGACCCTGTTTCCAAAACACACACACACACACACACACATATATATATATGTATATATATATATATATATATATATATATATATATAAGTGAGAGTTGATTGACATCTTGATTTTAAGACATCCTAACCAAGAACAAGGGATGTCTTTACAAGTTTGTTAAAGTCTAGTTTTGTGTCTTTTAGGAGTGTTTTATAATTTTCTTCATACTGATTTTCAACATTTAAGCTTATTCTTGAATATTTATTTTTCTGCTGTTATAAATGGGGTTTTCTTACCATCCTTTAACTCGTTATTTGTGTGTGTGAATTCTATTGCCTTTTGCATGCTAATTTTATATCCTAGTACTTTGTTGAATTCTTTTATTGAATTTTTGAACAATTTTCTAGGATGTTCCAACTCTGTTTACAAATTAAGAGTTTTGTTTCTTCTTTTCCTGGTCTTATGTTTCTGTTTTCATTTGTTTCAATGCTTGCATTGGCTCCAGAACCATGTTAAAATAGTAGTGGAGATAATAGGCACCCTTGCTTTTTCCTGTCCTTAGTGGGAATGCCTCTCGGGCTCTCCCATAAAATAAGATGTTGCCTTTAGAATTGAAGTATTTATGTTGGTCACATTAGAGAAATACCCATCCATTTTTACTTTCTCAAGAGTTATTAGTAATGGGTTTTGATTCTTCCCAAAGACTTCTTTCTTTAATCATCTGTTGCATTGAAATAATTTTTTCTCCTCAGACCTTTTAATTTGTTAAACTTTATTAATGGATTTTTCTAATATTAAATATCTTTGAATTTCTTGTATAAACTCCACCTGGGCATAGTTATTATTTTCTTAATGTGGTATTAGAGTCTGTTTGATAGTATTTTATTTAGGATTGTTTTTCTTTTCTCCTTCTCATTAGATAAAGGATAATACATTCTTTTAAAAAATATATGTGTATGTATTTCAAAAGATGGGGTCTCTGTGTGTTGCCCAGGCTGAATTCTACCTCCTAGGCTCAAGAGATCCTTCTGCCTCAGCCTCTCAAGTAGATGACACCACAGTTCTGTGCCACCGTGCCCAGCTATTTAGGATTTTTGCATCAGTGTTGTTAAGTGCATTCATTTTAATCTTTAAGACTAGCTGATCTATGGTTCCTGGTAGTTTCTCTTTTTAAGTGAGCATCCCTTTCATATCAACCTGGTAGCACAGAAAGATAAAGTTCCCTTTTATTGATATTTTAGATTCAAAATTTGGGGTGGGTAATGAGAGCCCCACAATGTATTAACCTTACACCCAGGGATACCCAGGGTTTTAAGGCTGACTAGCTCACAGGCACAGAAGTAGTTTTGGCTGGCCTCTGGTTGGCCTTTTACTTCATAAACAATTCTAATTTGGTAAGGATAGGACACTCTCTCTATTCTAAAAACATGAAGGGCCATCATTGGACTTTTGATGTGGAGCAATATATTTTCACATTTTCAGACACCAAGTCACATGGCGTTGACCGTGCTCTGTGTTTCCCCACCCACCATGGCAGTCTCACATTGTTGCCCAGGCTTGAGTGTAGTGGCGTGAGCTCCCTGCAGCCTCAAACTCCTAGGCTCAAGCAATTCTCCTGCCTCAGCTTCCCAAGTAGCAGGGACTACAGGTGTGCACCACCATGGCTAATTAAATTTTTTTTTTTTTTTTTTTTTTTTTTTTTGTAGAGAAAGAGGTGTTTTGCCTTCTTGCCCAGATTGGTCTCGGATCCCTGGCTTCATGCGATCCTCCCATCTTGGCCTCCCAAAGTGCTGGGATTACTGGCATCAACCATCACACCAGGCTGGCCATGCTATTGTTTTAGAGTTGAGCAGACTTACTCCACAAAAATTACTTCCTGCTCCTAGCATATGTTTCTTTTTTTGAATTTTGAGTTGCTGTCTTTTTGGTTTTATCTCTTCCACCTATATGTTTTCCTGGATATCCCCATTCCCTTATTTAAATTTTCCTGGAGATTTTAGTGCAGATTTTGTGAGGCCACATCAGACATTGAAAACAGCTTTTTAAAAGGTGTATACCCTAAGGCCAGGCGCAGTGGCTCACACCTGTAATCCCAGCACTTTGGGAGGCTGAGGCAGGCAGATCACTTGAGGTCAGGAGTTGAAGATGAGCCTGGCCAACATGGTGAAACCCTGTGTCTTTAGTAAACACAAAAATTAGCTGGGTGTGGTGGCACACACCTGTAGTCCCAGCTACTCAGGAGGCTGAGGCAGGAGAGAATCACTTGAACCCAGGAGGCAGAGGTTGCAGTGAGCCAAGATTGCGCCACTGCACTCCAGCCTGGGCAACAGAGTAAGAGTCCATCTCAAAAAAAAAAAGCATGTACCCTAAATTAGT
Source organism: Homo sapiens (assembly GCF_000001405.40). NCBI lineage: Eukaryota > Metazoa > Chordata > Mammalia > Primates > Hominidae > Homo > Homo sapiens. Next base: position 152,252,840 of record NC_000007.14, on the reverse strand, counting down.
GTCATGAAAATAAAAGCTTAATGTATAATCCACAAATGATTCATGACTTTTTAAAGGTTTACATCAGAACTACAATTACAAATGCATAACAAACTGTTTTTGTTTTTATTTTTCCTGGTGTTTAGAATTGCAGAATATGTATAGAGTGTGGCACACGGTCTAGTTCTCAGTGGCACCACAATTGCCTGATATGTGACAATTGTTACCAACAGCAGGATAACTTATGTCCCTTCTGTGGGAAGTGTTATCATCCAGAATTGCAGAAAGACATGCTTCATTGTAATATGTGCAAAAGGTAAGAAGATAGTTATTCTATTCAGTTGTTTTGTCGATTGTTTTATTCATGTGGTCATTTGCTCTACCATCTTACAGCTTCTAAGTTTTTATCACTCTAGCAATTCCATCAGTACTGATTGCTGTTATAGATGGAATTAAATGATGTTTTTGAGTCTCAAAGGCATAAGGAAGTAAATGGGCAAAAGATAAGACCAGACCACATCAGAAATGAGCACTAATAGGGAAAAGTAAAGAGAAAATAGCTTAAAAATGTCAAGTAAAAATACGGCAGCATCTCTAGTGACATGCACAAATGTGCTTTAAAAAACCTTTGTCAGTTAGCAACTCCTCTAACCTCTCTCCTCTCATACTTAATTAACTGTTTTCATATCCAGCTTTTCAGCAATGCCTTCTCTTTACCTAGATAATAACTCGATGTTAGAAATTTTTATTTAAGTATACTTATCACTGCAGGTGGGTTCACCTAGAGTGTGACAAACCAACAGATCATGAACTGGATACTCAGCTCAAAGAAGAGTATATCTGCATGTATTGTAAACACCTGGGAGCTGAGATGGATCGTTTACAGCCAGGTGAGGAAGTGGAGATAGCTGAGCTCACTACAGGTAAATTTGAGAATGATTTTTTTTTAAATTTTTTGTTTTTGTAATGTTGTGCCATTGTATCACCAATATATTGCTTTAATCAGGAAGAGAGGATCCTGTATTCCAGATTCCATCTTGTTCTCAGTTTCTCAACCTTTAAATGTATTTGTTATCTTGGTCATCTCTGAATCTGATGGCTAAAATCTAATCTAACTTAAGATAGTTTTTTTTAGTATTTGAATTCCGGGTCTAGTGTGCTTTCCTTCACTTGTGTTCTTCAGGCCGACAGTGGAAGTTCCCCAGTCTTTGGGTTTGCTTAGTTTGTTCTTTATAATGTGGGTTATTTTTCTCTAAGCATGTTGTAGTTTTGTAATGTCCTTCTTAAGTTAATTATCACCTTTTCAGCCCAAGATTTTGTTCAGGTATGGAATATTTTTAGTAGTATCCTACTGTTAAAAACATGAGTCTTAGAGAGTAAAGGAAATAGAACTGCTCGCCAGATTGTTTTTCATTTTCATCATTATGAGTGGCAGCTTTTGTAAAACTTCTCTTTATCATCTTCAAGGATAACTAAACATCTTAATTACTAACCTTTCATTTCCAGAATGCCATCAGTATTTAGTTTTGAAATATCCTTTTAAAATAATGTGCCAGTTACCTTTTAAAAAAAATTGTTTTAGAGATGGGTTCTCACTATGTTGGCCTGGTTGGTCTTGAACTCCTGGCTTCAAGCGTTCCTTCCGTCTTGGCCTCCCAAAGTGTTAGGATTACAGGCATGAACTACCACGGTTGGCCCACCTTTTGATGCATTATAATTTTCATGTTTTTTAAAAATGTAAATATACATGTGGTTCAACAGAGAAAAATCTGAAGAAAAACTTAAAGCATTTTTGGTGATGATTTGCCCTTACTCATACAAAATCATAATTGTTGACTTAATGAACAAAGAAAAAAACTCATTCTGAGCTAAAGAATTAATAATTTTTTGTTAAGATTATAACAATGAAATGGAAGTTGAAGGCCCTGAAGATCAAATGGTATTCTCAGAGCAGGCAGCTAATAAAGATGTCAACGGTCAGGAGTCCACTCCTGGAATTGTTCCAGATGGTAAGAATGTTTAATGGATATACTCTGTTTTTGAAGAAAATGTGTATATACAATAAATATGTGAATATTGACTAAAACTTCAGTAAAAGCCAAGATGCAGTCACTTAGGAAGAGTTTTTTAGTAAAATAATCTTAGACAAATTAATAGGAGAAAGGACATGCGTGTATTTGTAGTTCAGCTACCATCTAGACTTAATCATAAGTACTTACTTGGTTAAGGGACCAAGTGATTTTCTATTAAAAAGCAATTCGTATTTTTATTTCTTTAGTTGTAGTTGCTAAGTAGAGCTGTTGCTGATGATGAGATGTTTCATGCTGAGATAATGAAAAATTTACTGTATTGGATCATCTCAGCAGTCCTATTGAGGGTTATTTCACTTATTTCCATGATGTTTCAATTAAGCTTTTTGTAGTAAATATTGATAAGAGCTATTATTGTACTTGCAGATCTGGAATTAATAAGAGACCATGTTGGGGGAAAACTACTTGTTACATTTAATCACAGGCTCATCTGAAAGTCTTTGGTGTTGTATGTGAAGTTGTATGTTCAATTATATAGTATACATAAAAATTATAATGTATACATAAAAAGCCACTGAGATGTTTTGAAATTTATTAAGTTTACGTATAATAACTCTCATTAAAATTATTTTCTATAATCTTTCTTGTGAGGTCTAGTTGTTAAAGAAAAAGAGAAAAAGACAATTAAAAAATTTTTACCATAGTGCAAAGACTTCTAATTTTGTCTTCATAACTTACTAATAAGTGGTACAATGTTTCATGCTTATATTGGAAATTGACATTTAGTAGAATAAAACTCTTTACTCAAATTACTGTTGAGGGAACAGTGTTACAGAAATTTTGACTCCTTAGAGATTTTATAAATGTGTTACTCACAGCGGTTCAAGTCCACACTGAAGAGCAACAGAAGAGTCATCCCTCAGAAAGTCTTGACACAGATAGTCTTCTTATTGCTGGTAAGCAGTATGTTCATATTGTCTAATTTGATTGAGTTACAAGATAATGTCTTTATCCCAAAGACATTTTTGCGATTGCTGTATGTATATACATTACGGTAACTAAATCTTTTAGTTAAGAGATTCTGGAAAAGAATTGACAATGGATCTAAAGAAGGTTAGTTTCTCTTGAAAGGTTTTTTTTTTTTTTTTTTTTTTTTTTGGAGGGGGGAGGTCATGATTAAAAATATTTTGTACTTTCAGATCTGTTACTTGGTAGTTTTCTTTTATCCCTACCTGTAGTCTTTCAATAAAGTGGGAAAGAAGATGAGATTTCAGTTTGATATCAGAACATGTATAGGCCTGGGCGATATAGTGAGACCCTGTCTCTACAAAAATAAAAAAAGTATCTGGGGATGGTGACACATGTGTGCAGTCCCAGCAGCTTGGGAGGCTGAGGTGGGAGGACCACTTGAGCCCAGGAGGTTGAGGCTGCAGTGAGCCATGTTTGTGCTACTCTACTCCAGCTTGGGTCACAGAGTGAGACCCTGTTTCAAAAAAAAAAAAAAAAAAAAACCAGATAAATTTTAGTCACTGATTGGTAAATGAGGCTAGCAGTGTCTTTTTACTATAACTTAAAAATTACCTTGATGAGATTGAGTTAAAGGTTTAACATACTGGTATCCTGATTTAAAATTTACCAGTGACTATGTTTCTGATATCTAAGTTTATAGATTTCCTGAGATTAGTCTTTTAATTTATAGACAGTGATGAAGAACAAGGATTATATCCAAAGAATATTTTGGGTAGGTTGGCAGGTATGGTTAAGCAAAATAAATATTGGTGGTTAGTAAATCTTTTCTGTCTGTGCTTTTGAGTCTATAGTAACTTTGTTACATCTGGGTATCTACTATTAGAAAATGCCTACACATTCTAGATCACTCTTTACTTTTTAACTTAGGTACCTCACATAACATGATTGATCCTCATTTTCTTAACTAAAAAATGAGTATGAGAACTTTTCCTGTGTAATTTTCAATCCATTTGGAAATCCTTAAGTTGTAAAACATAATGTTTTCATTAGGTTTTCTGGTGTGTGGCTGATTCTAATCCATAAATCCTTGTGTACTTTGGCTTTCATTCACTTAATAATTGTCTGCTTTGATGAATACCTTCTGATTTAAGTTCTAGTGTAGCCAAATGTTTTATATATCTATAGTTAGAAAATTTAAAATTTGTTTGTACATTGCCATAACAAATGTTCTGAATTTTGTAGTATCATCCCAACATACAGTGAATACTGAATTGGAAAAACAGATTTCTAATGAAGTTGATAGTGAAGACCTGAAAATGTCTTCTGAAGTGAAGCATATTTGTGGCGAAGATCAAATTGAAGATAAAATGGAAGTGACAGAAAACATTGAAGTCGTTACACACCAGATCACTGTGCAGCAAGAACAACTGCAGTTGTTAGAGGAACCTGAAACAGTGGTATCCAGAGAAGAATCAAGGCCTCCAAAATTAGTCATGGAATCTGTCACTCTTCCACTAGAAACCTTAGTGTCCCCACATGAGGAAAGTATTTCATTATGTCCTGAGGAACAGTTGGTTATAGAAAGGCTACAAGGAGAAAAGGAACAGAAAGAAAATTCTGAACTTTCTACTGGATTGATGGACTCTGAAATGACTCCTACAATTGAGGGTTGTGTGAAAGATGTTTCATACCAAGGAGGCAAATCTATAAAGTTATCATCTGAGACAGAGTCATCATTTTCATCATCAGCAGACATAAGCAAGGCAGATGTGTCTTCCTCCCCAACACCTTCTTCAGACTTGCCTTCGCATGACATGCTGCATAATTACCCTTCAGCTCTTAGTTCCTCTGCTGGAAACATCATGCCAACAACTTACATCTCAGTCACTCCAAAAATTGGCATGGGTAAACCAGCTATTACTAAGAGAAAATTTTCTCCTGGTAGACCTCGGTCCAAACAGGTAGGGTGATTTTAATGATATTGACAGAAAAGATATTGGAACAATTCTATAAAATCAGAAGGTATATGTGTAGCTTTGGTGTGGATGGCAACTTTTTCTGTCTTCAGATAGAACTTCAGTGTAATGTTGATTATGTGTTTCAGCCATTATTTTTTAAATGCTGTTAATGAAGAATGCCATTTATTAAATTTGAAGTGATCTTATTTGGAATTTCAACTCAGTTGGGCCATAAAGATGCAACCTATTGATAATAGTTTCTAATAGAAAGAACTTTAAAAATTCTTTTAGTTCTGTGCTGCAGTAAATATAGAGCCTAAAATACAGTATAGTTTTGGGTATACAGTAACTAACATCTATTATTTCCTTCTAATATATTTATTTATTGATATTATTCATTGTATATATTTTTAACTGGATAAACATCAACATTTATGACAGGAATTTTCCATGCTGGGGAATTTCTCATTTTGATGTTTTTATTAATTGCTAACTCTTGTGGGATTTCTTTTTTCAAGTAGGACTTATTTCAGTAGTTTCATGGAAAAAAATCTTAGAATTGTACTGTTGATTTTCAGTAAGTAAAGATAAATCTTCCTTTGTCTGCTTTACATCATGTACATTCTACCCTTTAAGAATGAGTTCCATTTCTTTTTAAGTGAGATTTAAGTAAAACTGCATGGCAAAATGAAGATACTGTAGGTACGAATTATTTATTGTTTTACAAAATTGCTGCTTTCTGAAGTGTTTTTTAAAATTGCAAGATAACAAATAGTGGAGAAGTGTTAATTCACAATAGTAATTTGGAGTTTTAAGTTTCATGATTGAAATTGCTTCAAGTTAAGTTTTAAGTTTCATGATTTAAATGGATTAAAGTTTGGCTTTTTATAGGAATAATATATTGATTTTAATCGTATAATTTTTAAACTGTAAGGCCAAGCTTTTAAGAAAATCATTTTTTAATGTGAAAATTAGTCTCCTCTATATCAAACCCAGATATATTTTATTCTCTAAAGACAAGGTACACGAAAGGGAAAGTAGTTGTCAGATGGGATTTAGCTGTTTCTGCATGGCAAAAGACGTGTGCAGTAAAACTAGGCCACTCTTTATATATGCCTTTTTCTAAGTATTTTCCTTGACAGTTATTTCTGCTCTACCATGAAAAGTTTTTCTTCTCAAACCAGTTGTGCTCCTTTCTAGTAAGTTTTTTTTTGTTTTGTTTTGAATAGTTATATAATAATTATGTTGTTCTGACTCTGAAAAGACTTTACCAATGGAAATTTGAATCTCAAATTTACTTTTGGTTGATATATTTACATTCTTTAAAGATACTGCTTCATATGTATTCCTGTTAAATTTTACTTATCTCTCCTTCCTTGTAGACTTTTGTTTCAATTGAGAAACCAGGTTCAATACATTAGGACTCTTTTTCTGTAGACTTTATGTTCCGAAATATTGGGGAGGGGGGTGTATTTCCAGGCTTATTCCATCTTATATGAGCCATGTCCTAGTATTTTGCTGAGCTGTCTTTGATTCCCAAATCCGATGATAATCTTTCTATTTTTCTGCCCCTCTTGTTACTACTTCATCATTTGCTGCTACTCTTGTAAGTATTTTGTAGGCTGTGTTTTCCCTCCCTCCAGCTTTTTAGTTTTCCAATCTTGGTTTTAGTTATCTAGCAAACAGCCTTCACTTGATGATGAACCTGCTAATATAGTGCTGTTATTAGGGAGAGTATGAATTGAATAGTACAAGATAGATCTTCCATTGGTGAGGCACTGGGACCATAACTTGCAGGAAATATTCTACAGTTAGCAGGAATGTGTATATCCGTATATTAGAAATACTGAAGTTCAGTATTCTGTTACATGAATTTCTTTGGTATTAGGCATTTCTGTATTATACTTCTGTTTTTATTTACTGTTTCTTCTACATATTCTTCACGTTGGGGATTGGCTGTAAAATAAGCTGCATTTTCCTGGCTGTGATTGTGATGTAAGCAAGATTCTTTGGTTTCCAGCTATTTTTTGTTAACATCACTGGCATTTTCATATTTTGTTGAACATTACCAATTCTTTGGTCTTTACCAGTAAAGTAAATACTAACCAAAGAAATGTAGATTTACCTTAAGTTCTGTTTCATGGTGGGCAAATTATTAAGTTGATTTTAATGATTTTCTATAATAGTATTATATGAGCTTTTCTAGGAATTCACTTCAAAATTAAACGAACATTTTAATAGGAAACATCTGAAAGATCTAGTTTGTGATAGCTAGTGATTGGATTATCAGATGTTATCTGGAGGTACAAGCTAGCCAACTAGTAGAACGGTAAGCCAGTGCTGTCTAATATAAATATAATGCAGACCATATGTGTAATTTTAAATTTTCAAGTAGTTACACTTTAAAAAAACAAAAACAGGTGAAATAAATTTTAATCTATTTTATTTAACCTGGTATATTCAAAACAATATTTCAGCATTTAGTATAAAAATGAACAAGATGCTTTATACTTAAAACATCAGTTCTGGCTAGCTGCATTAGAAGTGCTCAGTGGTCACATATGATGGTGGCTGCCTTATTGGACGATGCAAGACAAAACATTTTGAGAAATATAAAAACAGCAGTTCCGGAATTATTGGTGAAATTAAAATACCAAAAGAATTCAAGATCGACAAACTAAGACTGTGGCTGTGCTTTCACAATTTTTAAGGACTGAAGTAGAAATATTCTTTTTCTGTTGTTCATGGAACACATTTTAATGCAGATAATTGCTAAACCATTTGTTGCTGCAACAAATCTTTCACATTTTCAAGTATATTCAGTTTTAAATATATAATCCAAATAACCCAATATTGGAGATTTTCTGAAGGTGAGATGTTAGGACACAGAAAATGGAATTTATATCTCAGGTATTGGACATCCATTATCAAATATCAAATCATATAGAATTATTTTCCTTTAAGGAGGTTAGTAATTAAAGTTTAGTTTTTTGTATTTTTCCTTTCATATGGAATATTTCAGGTGCTATTTAGTGAGAAATATGATGCTTATTTTCTTTATGACATGTTTCAAATATATCTCAAATGTATGATTTAGAACCTAACTGACTACAGGAATAGTAACACATTTTTCTGATGGCTGTGAATAGAATAAGATTCCTTTTGTTTTTTGTTTTCTTGCCTATTGTAGACGCAGGATTTCACAAAGATGAGGAAAAATTAGACATGATAAGGTAGGAGAAGTAACAGACAGCAAATTGGATATTGTTTCATACAAATTGTCCTAATGACCTAGTTGTATTTTCTCATCTTTTATTGAAGTTATCTATTCATAAATAATTTAGTATTTCATTTTTCAGCATTTAAAAATATTTTTTATTTTTTTATAGAGATGGGGGTCTTGCTGTGTAGACCAGGCTGGTTACGAACTCCTGGCCTCAAGCGATCCTTCCATCTCGGGTCTCCCAGAGTGCTGGGATTACAGGTGTGAGCCCCACAGCGCCTGGCCCATTTTTCAGCATTTTTATAGGTGTATGTACTTTGCGACCTGGGTTTAAGAAAGTGATTATTGACACTGCCACATATTGTAATCAACTCGGTAGATTTTAGAACATCAAGCTAATGGCCCTACCCTAGACCAATTAAAATGCACTTCTAGGATCATCTTTAACTGTAACCCTGAAAGCGGAGTTCTGAACTAGAGAAATGTGCTACTTGTCTTACTGATTTTTAAAAATGCATTAAACTGAATACTGTAAGGAATGCTCTTTAAAAATGGTGGAAAATAAAGTGGAAATTTTAAATTTGTCATATTAAATCATAACATTTGTTTTTATTTCTGTCTTCAGTCCATTTCTCTCATTGCACAGTTGTATTCCCATTCTAATTAGGAAATTCTGAGATAATAATCTTAGGTCTTCTTGTATTATTTACCCTGTATGTATCATCACGTCTTATAGAAAGATATTGAATGTAATCACACTACTATGATCTAGTTCAGACACCTTCATGTTCTAATTGCTTTCATGATGGTATTGAAAGTTTTTATTAAGCATTTTATGAAACGTATTATTTGCAGTAGACATTTCTTTATTTTATTTTTACTTATTTATCTGTTTATTTTGAGATTGAGTCTTGCTCTGTTGCCCAGGCTGGAGTTGTGGCACGACCTCACTCACTGCAGCCTCTGCCTCCCTGGCTCAAGCAGTTCTCCTGTCTCAGCCTCCTGAGTAGCGGGGACTACGGGCGCACGTCAACACACCTGGCTAATTTTTTAAATATTTTTAGTAGAGACGGTGTTTCGCCATATTGGTTAGGCTGGTCTCGAATTCCTGACCTCAGGTGATCCACCCGCCTTGTCCTCCCAAAGTGCTGGGATTACAGGGGTGAGCCACCACGCCCAGCCTACAGTAAATATTTCAAGAAAATTTCATAAATGAAAACATAGGTACTGTATTTTGATATCTCTTGGACAAATTATAAGAAGTTTACTTTATATTATAAGAAGAGTACTTTCAGTTTTAAAAGTAGCCAGAGAACCATAGTGTTAAACCTAAAAAATACCTACCCCTTTGGAACACCAAGCTAACAACACAGCCGATTAGAAGTACCAGACTTTCCTTTTAGTTCACTTGTGCTTGTTGTGGTATTTTTGGAGATATTACTGTTGCTAGTGCCACCTAATTTGTATTGTGAAATTATTGAAGGCTAAAGCTGATAATAGCTGTTTCTGTAGTTATCAAAACAGGATTAGGTCTAATTTCTTGTTCTACTTGATATCGAACTCAATTTTATATATGAGACTTCTTTTAAGAATTCCCTAAATAGTGAAGTGTTTGCTGCTGTAGCTCCACTGTATACAAGTGATTATATTTACCAAAAAGACAAACTGTAAACTCTTTTGTTTCTTTTACCAGTTATCTTCCTTTCGGCTCTCTCTCTTCATTGCTTTCACTTTTCCTAAATTAGACTTACTGTTTATAAGCAACCTTGGTTTTACATAGTATGTTGGAAGAGTGTGGGGCTGGGGTTGATTTAGGATTTGGAGGTGTAAAGTTTGCCAGTGAGACACCAAACCTTCTCTGGCTGCTTTTAAAACTGATAGTACTCTTGGGCTGTAAGAGTGACTTTGATCATATTTAACAACCAGCAATAGAATTTGACTTTTAATAGAAAGTTGCTTCTAAATAGCCTATCCTCCACGTGTCATTATTGTTCTCATTTCCCCATCCCACAGTCCTTGTATAACTTACTAGCTTGGACAGTTTACCTGAGAAATTGGCCTCAAAACAGAAAGAAACTTAATGCTAATATTAAACTGTTTTTGGGTTAAATTATTTTTCTTGGGTTCAAATTCAGTCCCTGCCAGGTAGTGTTTTTTTAGTTTCTGTAGTATTTGATAGCAAGTTGATTCTATTTACAACTTAATAATGATTACATTAGGAACTATTTTGCTTTTAATTCAGTTTGTAGATTAAGGAGGCATTATATAGATTTTTTAGTAATTTTTAGTAACTTTTTTTAAGTGAAGAAATTCAAGATTCTAGGTTATTACTGGTGGAGGCATTAGTGTGTTTCATATCATAGTTCATTGTTTATTGATGAATTCATACACATATGCAAAAAAAGATAATAGATGCTCAGCAGAAAAAAAGTTCAATAAGTGCTGAACAGGGTGCTTAACATAGCAGTGAACAGAAAGGGGCATGATCTTTAATTACAGTGTAAAAAGTGCTGCAACTGGATTGTAGGGGAAGAGCCCATACATTACAGGGGCAGCTAACCTTTTCTGAGTGGTTTGTGTAAGTTCTTGATCAAAGCTAAGATCTGAAGGATAATTTAAACTTTGGTAATTATAGCTATATTTTAGTTTTAAGGTCTAAGGAATATACTAGATAATTTGTCAGAATATCTAAGTATAATGATAATTTTTCTTCAGAACTATAAAATTACACAAAGTCTGTCTTCTTTTTGAAGTGAGATAAAATTTTGGCATCAAAGCTAACTTTTAAATTATGATGAATAATACATAATTACCAGAAAATTCTTACTTCTGAAATAAAATTATTCAACATTATTTTTATCTTAGAGTACGACTTTCTGTCTCATATTTTTGAGAACTGTCTACTGCCAACATAATATTAAACTATCGACTAAAAGGAATTTAAGATGTATGTTAGCCAAATCTCAGAGAAAAACCAATGGAAATATTGAGAGAAGTAATTTAGGTATCTTTTGCCCCCACTGCCTACCACTAAATAAAATTACAAACAATAAAACGTCCTAGGTGGTGATGCAATGAGAGGCACTAATGGTGTGGTAAGAGAGATGATGGTTCACCGGGAGCACTAAGGAAAGGTCTGCTGTTGAGAAAATATGTAAGGCCATACCTGAAGGGTTAGAAAACGCCAGACATGGCTGGCCGTGGTGGCTCACGTCTGTAATCCCAGCACTTTGGGATGCCAAGGCTGGTGGATCACAAGGTCAGGTGTTTGAGACCAGCCTGACCAACATGGTATCGCTCCTAAAATACAAAAATTAGCTGGGCCTGGTGGCGCATGCCTGTAATCCCAGCTACTCAGGAGACTTGAGGCAGGAGAATCGCTTGAACCTGGGAGGTAGAGGTTGCTGTGAGCCGAGATCGCACCACCGCACTCTAGCCTGGGTGACAGAGCGAGACTCCATCTCAAAAAGAAAGAAAGAAAGAAAATGCCAGACATTTATTGAGGGGCTGGAATGATATAGTGAAGTGTTCTGAGTCAGTCGGGCTCTGATTGATAAAGAGCTTGGCATGTTTGAAGGACAGCAAGGAAGCCAGAATAGCTGGAGCGTAGCAGCGGGGAGACAAATGCCACAAGGTTAGTTGGAGAAAGGCATTGGGAAAGGTTTGTCTTTTAAGTGCTCTGAGAAGCAATTGAAGGTTTGAAATAGAATAGTGACTTGCTTGATCACATTTGTACTTTTGAAAAGTTTCTCTGGCTGCTGTGGGGAAAGGCTTCAGTAGATGCAGGGTCGGAGAAGCATAACCAGCAGTAGACTCTTGTAGCAGGTTAGGTGAGAGATGGTGGTGGCCACGACTGAGCTGCTAGTGGTGGAAGTGACAAGAAGTAGAAGGATTGGAGACAAAACTTGAAGATAAAAAGTCTTGAATTTGCTGATGATTTGCATTGATGAAGTGTTGGGGGAGAGGACTGAAGGAGCAAAGGAGAGTGACAAGGGACTGGATGCCATTTATAAGGATGGGGAAGACTGGGATGAAACCGGTTAAGGGAGAAATTTTAAACATGGCAAACTTAAGAGGGGTTTTGTGTGAGAAAATGGAAATGCTAAGAAGGAAGTTGAAAATCCTGCTAATTTGGAGATCTTTGATTAAAACTAGAAATAAGAATATGGGAAGCATCAACTTCCAAGATGCCCTCATTGTAGATAATACCATTTAGGATCTAGGCTCAAGCCCTGGGAAACTCCAGGGCTTTGGAAGTCAAATAGAGGAAGAACACGTACAGGAGATGAAGAAAGATTAGCGAGGAAGGCAGTGAAATATCCACAGGTGGACTGCTGCCAAATCCAGCAGAACAGTATGCCAGATGTCAGGAGCATGAGTAAAATGAGAAAAGAGAAATGGCTTTTGACAACACTTCCTTACTAATAGTAGGGAAGAAGACATAGGTACAGATTCAAGTTGATTGGAAATTATGAAAGTGAGGTAATTGACCTGCAGTGGTTGCTGCTCAGTGAAATCAGCATAGTGATTACCTGAGCTAGGTTAGAGATTTGATGGGTAAGAAAGAACACCTAACGGTAATCCTGGAGGGAAAAAAATAAAGTGTTTGCTGGAGAGAATGAGTTGGATTGCTGGACTTCAATGTGTGTGGATTCAGTTTGTGACTTAAAAATGAAACCAGTCTATTGCTTGTGTGGCTTTTCTCAAAATACTGTTATTCCATTACCTATCTCTTACCCCAAGAGTAGTCACATTCTTATTTCTGGTTATTTTAATTCCTGGTGGTATTTTTATGTGATTAATGAGATAGTACTTTTTAATTTGATGATATTCTAGAAACCTGGTAAGTACTATGTACCTTGTCTTAAGTTTTGGTTACTTAATTGGTAAAATTATAGCATGCACCATTGAATTACCTAATTCAAAATATATTCTTTTATTGTTTGACATTTGTCTTGTTTTTCTTTAAAATGTTATCTTTGTGGAGTAAACATTTTTCTTTATGCTGTTTAGCATCTTCATCAGATTAGTTCAGGGTATTGCTGAATGTGGTTGTTTGGAAGTAAAATGCTTTAGTTTTAGTTATATAGATTTTAATAAGATACTACTTTCTATATAATTTATCAGGTACTTTAGGCATTTTAATTTGCAAATTTAGGACAATTTGCTTTAACGTTTCTTCACTTTTGTCCATTGGATGTAATTTCCATAAAGTATTCATTTCCCTAAGTAAAAACCAAAACCAAACCGACAACTAATGGTCACTGAAGAAAGAGTGATTAAATGCTTAGATTATAATGGTATTTGCATTTTAATGTTACCAGCTCTCTACAGTTTAACGTGTATGCATTTATCGATTGCTTATGTTTCTCCTTGCATTCTTTGGCCTACTGGTTTTGGTTGTTTATAGCTATAGAATATAGAATTCCTTATGGTTATCCATTTCTCCTTTTAAGTAGAGTGATAGTTGTTAGAAGAAAAATAACCCCCCAATACTTTCTTCTAGTGTTAATTCTTAAAGTGTGATTGACTTTTATTTACTTTTTGGTGCAGTAATTGCAGTTCATGAGTCAATGTTGATGTCCTATAAACCTTAATTTTTAATGTTTCATTGTAGTGATGTCTCAGGCAGAATAAAATATTTAATGTAAATTGTAGCAGCAAACATTTAAGTTATACTTAAATGTTTAAATCACTGTTAGTGATTAACTTATTTTGCCTTCCTTGAAGCAATTTGTCCTAAATTTCCATACGTTTGCATTTGTTTTTGCTGTTCTAAAATTCCTTAGTTGCTGGCTTTGACCTTTTATGTTGCTGAGTTTTACACATCTATTTTCTCAACTGCCATATCCTAGGGGGCTTGGAGTACCCATAATACAGTGAGCCCACCTTCCTGGTCCCCAGACATTTCAGAAGGTCGGGAAATTTTTAAACCCAGGCAGCTTCCTGGCAGTGCCATTTGGAGCATCAAAGTGGTAAATAAAATTGCATTTACATTCATATATCATTTCTGTCTGATTTGTTTTGCCCTACTGGATGTTAAGAATTAAATCTTTCTTTTCTAGATTGAGCTTCCAAGAAACACTTTTTAAATCTAAAAATTTTAATGTAAAGAAATAATATGCTTGCATTTAAAAATCAAGTATACATTTTTAATACCTCTTTTTATGGTTAATTCCTTTTGTTGTGATTACTACTGTTTTTATGAGGGAGAAGTCCTTGACATGTAGACCAAAAGGTAATTAAGGACCTTTTCATTCATGATATCATAAAACCTTGTTGCTTAGAAAAAAGCAAAAGAAAAAGCTCCATTAATTTATTATGTTCTCATGGAGAAGAAATACCAAAATTGTGGCATATTTCATTGTCTGGTTAATACCTTAAAATGACAAGGCTTTTTCCCCCATGACATTGGTTGATGGCTCTGCCAGTCCTTGAAGTGAGTTAAGTAGTGTGATGCATTTTGAAGAGAAAAAAATTAATTTGAAAAAGTATTAACTCAAAAGTTAAAATACTTCATTGACTGGAGATGACAGTTTTTCTTCATATTCTATATTTAATATTCTGGAATATGGCTGTTTAATTTAGACTAATCAAGGATTTTAAGGAATTCTAGATTATACTTTATTTTCTTTCATGACTGGAAGAACTATTGTTTTTTAACCTCCCTACCTCCCCCTGATATCATCCAAGATATTGAGGTATAAATATACCTCATTTGACAGTTTGATAATATAGACCACCAATTTTCACTTACTTTTTTTCTGGGTCAGCATTTCATGTTCGAGAAAATAAATTGAGAGATTACTGTAGTCTCGATTTTTAATCACTAACTTAATTTTTCAAAAATCTTTTATACCAATTTAAAAACAAAACAAACTCGGCCGGGCGCAGTGGCTCATGCCTGTAATCCCAGCACTTTGGGAGGCTGAGGGGGCAGATCACTTGAGGTCAGGAGTTCGAGGCCAACCTGGCCAACATGGTGAAACCCTGTCTCTACTAAAAATACAAAGAAATTTAGCCGGGTGTGGTGGCATGTGCCTGTAATCCCAGCTGCTAGGGAGGCTGAGGCAGGAGAATTGCTGGAACCCAGGAGACGGAGGTTGCAGTGAGCCAAGATCGCACCATTGCACTCCAGCCTGGGCAAAGAAGCGAGACTCCATCTCAAAAATAAACAAACAAAAAAAACCCCCAAAAAACTAACCTGACGCCATCCATCTGTTGTGCAAAGAAGCTGATGCACTTCTCAAAAGGGATCTCAAGGAGAGCAGGGTAAGAGAAGACAGGAGTGGCAGTTTGAAACTGGGAGCTGGCTGTATTTGTTACATCCAAAGGGAAAAAAGCCATTCCTCCCGTTCCTTTTGTTCATGTGTATCTATTTTATGCTTACAGTATCACCATAAATTTTTGACTTGGAAACCATTCTGCTAAATAGGGAATAAGTTCATTTCAAACTATGATAAGGGACATCAGTTGAAGATATGACATATTATTTAACTTAACTGTGAGGGAAACATCTAAGTATTTTCCTGAGCATCTGGATAATTTTAAATATACATAATTCATCTACTTAGGGAGGTGCCAGGTTTTTTCAAGGAGTAATTAATTAGTACAAACAAGGGTGAGGGGGCAGGGAACACCATACTCTGGTACTTAATGTCTGAAATTATCAGGGAATTTAACACATTTTCCCATAGGTTTATTTCTTGTGTAAGAAGTCAGATAAATTATTTCCATTTCAAGTATTTATTATTCAGATTATTTAAAGCAAAGCTTTCACAAAGCCTTTTGTCAGCTTTCCTATAATCCTCAAATAATTTTTCCTGGCTGGACGCTTTGGCTTACTCCTGTAATCCTGGCACTTTGGGAGGCAGAAGCAGGAGGATCACTTGAGCCCAAGAGTTCTAGGCTGCAGTGAGCTATGATCACACCACTGCACTCCAACCTGAGTGACGGAGCAAGTTCTTGTCTCAAAAATAAAAGTAATAACAATAATGATAAATTTTCCTCTAAATACAATGGTGAATGAGGTAGAAATGTTGAGTTCATAAGAGAACTGTTGAATAGTGAAGGAAACTGACTTAATTTTAATGAGAGGAAGAATACTGTTACACAACACTAGCAAAAATGAACTTTCACGCTGATGTAGCAGTACAGAATATGCTTCCAACCCCGGGACGCTGCAGCCAGACTTGCTAGCTAAGTGACCTTGGACAAGTTACTTAACCTTTTTATTCCTCAGCACACTCATCTCAAATGGGGATAATAAAACCTACTATATGGGATTGTTGAGAGTAAAAAATACTTAGATTAGTACATAGTAAGTACTCAATAGATGTTAGCTATTATTGTAATCACCGCGAGACCAGTTAATGAGAGAGTTCTTCCTTATACTTACTCTATATTGAATACAATTTGTTGCACTTCGAAATATCTGGATCAGGCTATAGTTGTTGTCGTCACCAAGAATGTAGGAGTGGGAAAGAGAAAAATCATGCAAAGGCTTGCTGATAGCATTCACAGTGACAGGCCTAAGGTATGATTCTAAGGTTGTAAGCATTTTATATTTAGATTTTTAAGTTGTGGAGTATACGTTTAAAGATAAAAATAATAAGCCAGGTCTCTTAATACTTATCTAAGGAAGTGTTTGTGTAACATTTAATAAAATGTTTTATCTCAGTGGCATTTGGATTTAAAAATTATTTTGGTCTGTCACAGAATGTTGACTTTTCCCAATCTGTTACATAGGGCCGTGGGTCTGGATTTCCAGGAAAGCGGAGACCTCGAGGTGCAGGACTGTCGGGGCGAGGTGGCCGAGGCAGGTCAAAGCTGAAAAGTGGAATCGGAGCTGTTGTATTACCTGGGGTGAGGCTTGCTTCATGTATATTTTCTCTAATCTAAATGTCAGTTAATGATGAAAATCTCATAGCAAGTTATTTTGATCTTAAGAGTCATATAAATAGGTCAAAATGTTTATTTTACTGTCCTACTTTGCTTTTTTTTTTGAGCCTCTGGTTATGTTTTCTTGTATATTTACTTTCTCATCCTTTCTCTTTTCTTACCTTCCTCTTTGACTCCTTATCTTTCTATGCCAACCCTCTCTAAAAAGTCAGTATGTAATATAGTTGCTCTTTTATTTAAAAAATTTTAAGATTGATAGATATTTGCTTACTATCATGTTATGAGGCTTTATTTATATGTGTATTGCAAATATATTTGCTAACTAGCAAATATTTTATGTAATAACTTCGCTATTTTATTAAAATTCTGTTTTTAAAATTCTGAAATGTCATTTTAAGTATAGGAGACAGGTGAAATTGTTCAAGTTTACTACTAAACCAGGAATAAGGAAGCTTAGATTCTTGTCCTTTTTTCAAAAAGAAAAATTTTAAAACCAGGCTTATTGAGGTACAGTTGATATAAGCTATATTTGACATGTACAATTCCATAAGCTTTGATATATATATATATATACACCCTTGAAAACGATACCACAATCATGATAGTGAATATATTCATCTCCCAAAGCTTCTTCATGCCCCTCTGTAATTTTCTGCATTCCCCCTGCCATCCGTCCTTGTCCCCAAGATTAGTTTGCATTTTCTAGAGTTGTATATAAGTGGAATCATACAGAACTGTACACTTTTTGGACTGATTTATTTCAGCACAATTATTTGGAGATTCATCTGTGCTGTTGCATTTGTTAACAGTGTACTCCCTTTTCTTGCTGAGTATTAATAAAACTGTGGATGCACCATGGTTGTAGACCTGTGCACTTTTTTTTCTTCTTTTTTTTTCTGAGACAGGTTATCATTCTAATTCCTGGCTGGAGTGCAGTGGTGCGATCATAGCTAACTCTAGCTTCGACCTCCCACCTCCGTCTCCCAAGTAGCTGGGCCCATAGGTGTGTGCCACCACACCCAACTCCTTTTTTAAAATTTTTGATAGAGACAGCATCTCACTATGTTGTCCAGGCTGGTCTCAAACTTCTGAGCTCAAGCAGTTTTCCCACCTTGGCTTCCCAAAGTGCTGGGATTACAGGCGTGAGTCACCATGCCCCAGCCTGTAGTCTTACATTCTTGTAATGTCTTCGTCTGGTTTTGGTATCAGCATAACTACAGCTTCATAGAATGAATCAGGAAGTATATTCTCCTCTTCAGTTTTCTGGAAAAGTTGTGTAGTAGTGGAAATGTATCTTCTTATATTATACGTTAATTTATTAGTGAAACCATCTTGGCCTGAAATTTTCTTTGTGGGGGGTTTTTGTTGTGTTTTCCTTTTTTTTTTCTTCTTTCTTTTGAGATAGAGTTTCGCTCTTGTTGCCTAGGCTGGAGTGCAATGGCACAATCTCAGCTCATGCAACCACTGCCTCCCAGGTTCAAGTGATTTCCCCTGCCTCAGCCCCCTGGGTAGCTGGGATTACAGGTGCCTGCCACCACGCCTGGCTAATTTTTTTTTGTATTTTTAGTAGAGACAGTTTTTCACCATGTTGGCCAGGCTGGTCTCGAACTCCTGATCCACCTGCCTCGGCCTCCCAAAGTGTTGGAATTACAGGCGTGAGCCACCATGCCCAGGCTGGAGTGCAGTGGCGTGATCTCTGCTCACTACAGCCTCCACCTCCCAGGTTCAAGCAATTCTCCTGCCTCAGCCTTCTGAGTAGCTGGGATTACTGGCGCGCACCAACATGCCTGGCTAATTTTTGTGTTTTGGGTACAGATGGGGTTTTGCCATGTTGGCCAGGCTGGTCTCGAACTCCTGGCCTCAGATGATCCGTCTCCCAAAGTGCTGGGATTACGGGATGAGCCACCAGTGCCCAGCCTGTGGGACAGTTTTTAACAACAAATTTTATTTCTTTAATAGGTACCTATTTAGGTTATCTGTCTCTCCTTGCATAAATTTGCATCTTTCAAGAAATTTGTTCATTTTGTCTATCTTGACAAATTAAAGGAATGGAGTTGATCATAATGTTTCTTATTATTTTAATACCTGTAGAATCTGTAATGATTTCACCTTCCTCATTCTTGATACTAATAATTTGCATCTTGTCTTATTTTTTTCCTGATCAGTCTGGCTAGAGATTTATCAATCTTATTGACCTTCTTGAGTCAGCCTTTGTTTTCATGGACTTTTGTCTATTTTCTTTCCCCTTTCTGTTTTATTGATTTTTATTATCATCTTTATTTTTTCCTATCTTCTCACTTTGAGTTTAATTTGATCTTCTTTTTTTGTTTACTCTTACGTGTCCCTGCTTGGAAGGGACACTTGTGAAGTTTAGGTCAGAACTTTCTATTCTCCTTGGCTCATATCTGTGGTCTAGGAAAATGAAATTTCTATCACCTTCTGGATAAATCACACTATTATCTATGCAGGCAACAATAGCACGTATTTTCTCAAAGATTACCTTTGCCCTCAAGGTAGGTTTTATTTTTCTAGCAGTCTAACGGTCATGAAATAAATTATAAAATAAAAACAGTGGGTCTTCAAGCTAGATGATACTATTTTCTTTCTTGCATGGACAATTATTTTAAAATATTTTGGTTTTTCTGCACTTATTATTTAAATATGACAGTATGACTCCCCACCCCCACTTGAATCTAGGGACATTGTAGTTTTCTACTGCAGACTTTGTTTCTGGTTTATACTGGGAATATATTGTTTATCATTTTCAGTGAAAGCGTTCACTGGTTAAATTTCCTTTTAAAAATAATAATGGATCTTTACAATTTCTTTGAGCTGCTCAGTGGGTATAATGTGTTGAATTTTCTGTTAGTGGTTGGGAGGTAGAAATAGATACTTTATCTCTATTTTAGCCATTTCCATAATTATATATCTCAATAGTCTTGTCAATGCATCATTAGTTCTATGACTGAATTAATGATTACTTTTAGTAGTCACTTAATTTCTTACTGATGATGATGATTCTACTTTTGTGAATCATCTTGGATGATTCTCTAAAATCTTAGAAAGCTGATTTTGTTAATACTATGCATGTAACACATCAATACATTTTCTCTATTAAAAAAAATTAAAGCATTATAGGTAGATCAGAATTTACCATTACTAACTCCTCAGTCCTTCTTATTTCCCTGTTATCAGTTTGGTATATTTATATATTAGGTTGATCCATATGAAATTGCCAATATTATTTCTGAACTGATGAAAAGCAGCAATTTCTTATGATTCAACCTATTATATATGCCCATAGACTACATATAATGACTTTGCATGTTTTTATATTATAGTGCTATACCTCAAATACTGTTCTGCAATTTATTTTTTCACTCAACAACGTCTTTTGATAATTTCTTTCATGGCAGTCTATACAAGTTTCTACCTCCCTACTTTTAAAATGTTGCGTAATTTTCTAATGTTTGGATTTGTCATTGCTTTACTTACTCCCTAATGATGAATATTGGCATTATTAACACTTGTAGTCATTAGGGTTCATATGACTATAAATTGCTCTTATAAAGCATTAGTACTATCCATTAAAACTGCCTTTAGGCTGGGTGCGGTGGCTCATGCCTGTAATCCCAGCACTTTGGGAGGCTGAGGTGGGCAGATCATGAGGTCAGGAGATCGAGACCATCCTGGCTAACATGGTGAAACCTCATCTCTACTAAAAATACAAAAAATTAGCCAGGCATGGTGGCAGGCACCTGTAGTCCCAGCTACTCGGGAGGCTGAGGCAGGAGAATGCCGTGAACCTGGGAGACAGAGCTTGCACTGAGCCGAGACTGCACCACTGCACTCCAGCCTGGGCGACATAGTGAGACTCTGTCTCAAAAACAAACAAACAAACAAAAAAACTGCTTTTAAATGTATTTGTATTGAAAAATACTGAGATGTAGTCCTTCTGTTTAGTTAACCAACCAAACTTCCTTCCTTCTTTTTTTTTTTTGAGACAGGGTCTCGCTCTGTCACCCAGGCTGGAGTGCAGTGGCGTAATCTTGGCTCACTGTAACCTCTGCCTCCTGGGTTCAAGTGATTCTCCTGCCTCAGCCTCCTGAGTAGCTGAGACTACAGGCGTGTGCCACCACGCTTGGCTGTTTTTTGTATTTTTGGTAGAGACAGGATTTCACCGTGTTGCCCAGGCTGGTCTCGAACTCCTGAGCTCAAGCGATCCACCCACTTTAGCCTCCCAAAGTGCTAAGATTATAGGCATGAGCCACCACACCCAGCTGGTTAATCTTCTTTCAGTTGTTCCTCAAGAAAAGTAATTCAGTTGTTTTATGTTTTGACCTTGAACATAACCTGTTGTGTTTCAACTCTGTCTTTCCAGGCTTAGGTTGTAAGCTTTTTAAAGAAAGAGGATTGTATTTTATGATTTTGGCAATGCCCTCCTTGTCTTCTTCTACAGCTTCTAGTTCAGAGCTTTGTTTTGTTTCATAATCACTCTAGAAATTATTAACAAACCAGTGGGTACTTAGTTGATTTAGTCAAATAGAACTAAGTCCAGACTGAGCAATATTGGTTGATAATCATATGGCTAATACTGAAATTTTGATGTTATTCAAAATAATATTCTAAAGCAGTGCTAATAGAAATATAATGAGAACCACATATGCAATTTAAAACTTCCTAGTAACCACATTAAAAAGTTACAGTGAGCTGGGTGCAGTGGATCATTTGCGGTCAGGAGTTAGAGACCAGCCTGACCAATATGGTGAAACCCCGTCTCTACTAAAAATACAGAAATTAGCTGGGCATGGCGGTGGACAACTGTAATCCCAGCTACCTGGGAGGCTGAGGCAGGAGAACAGCTTGAACCAGGAGGCAGAGGTTGCAACGAGCCGAGATCGCGCCATTACACTCCAGCCTGGGCAACAAGAGTGAAACTCCTCTCAAAACAAAATAAAGATTATAGTGAACAGGCGAAATTAATTTTAATGCCTTCCATTTCGACCGATATATCTAAAATATTACCATTTCAACACGTAATATGTAATTATGTGCTGTATTTTATGTTTGCAGGACATCTCAGTTCAGACTAGCTACATTGCAGATCCCAAGTGTGTGTCATTAAAATAGTGATAGATTTGTGTGGGTACATACATATATTATCATTTATAGTTTCCTGATTAGAATTCTGCATAATCAAGTCTTACTAAGACAGGTTTATTATATTTTCTCATTACTTCTTGGTCTATAGGAATTCTACCTCTAAAGAGAGAATTAGGTGAATAATAAAATGTCACGACTCCATTTTACGGTAGTATCTTAGCATTAATATTTGGAATTGTTATTCTAGACCTTAGCCAAAATATATGTTTTGATTATGAATTTTCTGAAGCTTTCCAGTTAAGTGTAAAACAAGTGAAAAATATAACTTCGTATTCTGTGTATTTTGCTTTTTATAGGTGTCTACTGCAGATATTTCATCAAATAAGGATGATGAAGAAAACTCTATGCACAATACAGTTGTGTTGTTTTCTAGCAGTGACAAGTTCACTTTGAATCAGGTTTGAACTTGACAATTTACTGTCTTCCTCATTGAATTCCTCCTTGCACATTTCTGCTTTATCTCATATACACAGAAGTCATTCAATATTTAGCTATAGAGCTATATTAGTTAAGAAGGTATTTTTAAAGTAAAATTTGTAGGTTTTTAGCTTAGTCTCCATTTAAAATATGTTCTGTTTTCTTAACTTCAGGATATGTGTGTAGTTTGTGGCAGTTTTGGCCAAGGAGCAGAAGGAAGATTACTTGCCTGTTCTCAGTGTGGTCAGTGTTACCATCCATACTGTGTCAGTATTAAGGTAAACATCCTTAAATTGAGTTAACAAATATGTATTGAATTTTTATTTGGTTTTAGTAGTAACATGAGCTCCCAGTTCTCACAATTAAGTATTATGATTATTAAACATATGTGACAGTATTTAAATACTTAAAATACTGCTTTTAAGGGTTTCCTATCTCAAGAAATTTGCTCCTCTATAAATCTTATATTGTACAATATACTTGTCTTGAAAAAGTAAAACATAAAAATATATGCATTTAATTTAAAAGACAATTTATAGTATTCACAAAGATTTTAGGTTTAGCTAATTCATTTTGTCTGCTGATTTAAAAAGCTGAGAACTGGAATATTTAGTAAAAAATTATTAGCCCATTCTGTTCTTTCCCGCATTCTCTCTCCTCTATGCTCACTCGTATACAAAATGACATTTTCTCCTTATAGCCAAAAGAAACAAAACAAGTGTCATATTTAATGCAATTGGTAATAATCGAGAGTCAGCGCTGCTCACTTTGAAGCATTTCAGGATAGAGGCTTTCTGGGGAACCTTTTAAGTGGTATCGTGTGCTTGGTTTTAAATATGGACAGGTCTCAATACTTCACTAGTTGTATCTAAGGTTCTTGGTTTTTTCTTTTTAAGAACTCAGTCTTAATAAAACTTACATATTTGAATAAAGTGTCATGGCCACTGGAAGCAAGCATGGAGGTATAGCTGTACAGCAGAGGTCTTAAACTGTATACTCCACAAGGAAATCTTTTCTAGTACTGCCATACCATGTAATATAAATACTAACCTCAGTTTCAGTAACAGGTTGTGAACCATGAGTGATTTTTATACCTTTCTCCCCTGCCCTTCAAACATCACTGTATTATATCATTGTCAGTAAAATGTCAGTATAGTAAGCAAATCAACATTATCTCCTTCAGAATTCTTTGTTGATAACTACACTAGTATTTATTTTATAGGGTAATACAGGTTTTTGTGAGTTTAGGAATCAAAATGAAAGATTGTAATTAATACTATCCAAAATAGAAGACTAGTACGGTTAATTTATGTAGTCTTTTAAAATTAGTTGCTCATGGTATGTGACTGAAAAACACAGAGTATATAAAGCCAATTAAAAAATAGAGTTATATATGCATAAAACATGTTTCTTTTCTTCTTTGTACTTTATATTCTGTATAAAAGTTGCTGCTATCATTAGATTTTGTTTTTTAGAATACTTAATGTTTTGGACCTAAGGAAATTGAATAAGATCCCTTTCAAGATAGTAATGTATTTCTTTTAACCCATCCAACAATTACCGAATTCCCATTTTACAGATGAGTACGACTTACATAAGTTAAGATTGGACAATTAGTGCACTATCAAACACATAGTTACTGGTAGAGCTAGAATTTGAATTCCTGTTTTTAAAAATTATGTATGGTTCCTTTTGCACGATGACACTGTTTTGGACAGTATAGAATACTGCAGTCTCATTGAGAAATACAGCAGTATCTAGAAATATACTAGGGATATGTGAATTGGCTCAGCTTGCATTTTTATTGTAGGAGGCAATTGTTTGTGGATAAGTTTGATACCTTTGAAGCTTCTTTTTAAGCTTGCTGGGGCAAGTCTAGAAAGTCTTCACTCTAAGGTGGATATTTTCAAACTTTATGGTTTTAGAACCTTAACACTCTTTAAAATTACTGGGGACTCCATAGTTTTTGTTTATGAGGATTTTAACTATGGACTGTTCAGCATTTTAGAAATTAAAACTAGGAACATTTTATAACACAAGACTACAGAAGCACAACCTGTACAATATCAATGTAATATTATGATACAACATGTAGCCTCTATAAACACCACTGTATAATTGTGAATGAATTAAAGTGAAAAAAGGCAAATTAAATCTTAGTATTATTTAAACTTGTTTTAACTTTACAGACTCACTGGGGTTCCCTAGACCACATTTTGGTAGCTGCGGTCCTAGCATTAATTTAACCCTATACTTAAGACTTGGCCTTTCTGGGATCACTACTGAATTCTGCTCCCTGTTCACCAGTGTCTTTGTACTCTGACTGGTTGTGCTTCACTTGTCTTTGAGCCTTTTGCAAGCTGTGGTAATTGTGCAGCTTACAAATTCCCAGTAGATGTACTTTCCCCTGGTTGTGGGTCTTTGGGCTTCTAGAAGTACGGCTTGGTGTTCCACCAAAGACTTCAGGGGATCCTTTGTAGATTTCTGGAGCTCTTAGTCGTTATTGCTTCTTCATTTTGAGTACTGTGTCCTGCAAATTCCACTGCCTTGCCTTCCCTAACCTCAGCGAGGCCATTGATTGTACTCTGCTGAGGTTCTCCCTCCCTGGGCAGCATTCTGGAAAATGTTTCTAGGCAGAATATCATAGGACTCCCTGAGTGTTTCCTTCCTCTCAGAGACCACTGTCTCCTGTACTATGTGTTGTCCAATATCTGAAAACAGTTGTATCATACACTTTGTCCCATTTTCTACTATCTTATGGGAGAACAGGCTGGTCCCACCTACTCCATTATAGTTGAAGCGTGTATCCGTATTAGATTATAAAACATATCTGTAACAACTTTGGACATGGTACCATGGATGGAATCCTGGATGACATCTTATTTGAAAAAACTTTTAAAACTAAGGCTAGACTGGTTCAACGGAAGAAAAAAATGATAGTACAACCCCAGTACCTAGGTTAAAAGGAAATTTCAAAGAGGGAGAAATTGTTGAAGTGTTGAAGTACTAGAAGTCAAGAAACACAAACACTAATGTTTCCATTAGATTTGAGAATAAGAAGGTCTTGACAAGCCTGGCTTAAGCAGTTATGAGTGGATGTGGGTGTAGAGACCAGACTGTAGTGTTTTGAAGAGTGAATATAAGCTGAGAAACTTGAGAGTTTGGTTATAAAAGGGACCACAGGTATCTGTGAAGAAAACTTAGTAGGAATGAAGATAAATATTTTTAAAATTCTGCCACTGAACACCTCAGATCTGTCTGCCACTTTATCTTCAGGTCATTGTTTAAGCCAGGGTCACGCAGACTGGCCCATAGACTAAATCTGGCCCATTTCCTGTGTTTGCAAATAAACTTTTATTGAAATATGGCCATGTTCTTTTGTTTACATATATTTGTAGCGGTTTTTGCATTACACTGGCAGAGTTTTTATAAAGTTGCAACAGATCATATGGCCCTCAAAACTTTCTGTTTACTCTCTGGCCCTTTATTGGAAATGTTTGCTGGCTACTGCCATAAGCCACCCTGATCTTACCCCTAGGCCATTTCCTTCATTTGGGCAAATAATACATTAACTTGGTAATCTAAGACAAATTCTTAAAAATCAATAAGCTAATCAAAATAATAAATATACATGTTTAAAAATCAAATGACATTAAAAGCCTTGTAATGGGCTGGGTGTGGTGCCTCACACCTGTCATCCCAGCACTTTGGGAGGCCGAGGCAGGTGGATCACTTGAGGGCAGGAGTTCAAGCCAGTCTGGCCAACACAGTAAAACCCCATCTCTACTAAAAGTACAAAAATTAGCTGGGTGTGGTGGCTCATTCCTGTAGTCCTAGTTACTCAGGAGGCTGAGCCAGGAGAATTATTTGAACATGGGAGGCGGAGGTTTTAGTGAGCTGAGATCACACCACTGCACTCCAGCCTAGGCAACAGAGCAGAGCAAGACTCCATCTCAAAAAAAAAAAAAAAAAAAAAAAAAAGGCCTTGTAATGAACAACCAACTCTTGTCTTACTCTACCTCCACGTCTGAGGCAGTCGCTTTTAATCTTTTCAGGTCTTTTTTTCTTGTGGTTAATGCTATAGCTCTAAATAATCAACTGGTTTACTGCTTTATCAATGCTAGATTTTGTTGACTTTCTGCTATGAATAAATAAATTCTGATTTAGGTCTTAAAATACACCTCCATCCTTCTCCCAATATAGTTGTATTACTATGTTTAGTTCAATTAATAAGGTGTTGGTTATGACTCAGTAAATGTTCACTGCAGGTCTAAACAGTATACTATGAGTTTCTTTTGTCTTTCATGGAGTTTTTTATAACAAGAAAGTAATAGTGACTCTCCATTCGTTCTTTGTTTTTGCCTACTCTAGAACTATCATATAAGATTAGTTTTTAAAGTACTGTTTTTTTCTGGGAGAAGTCCTACCCTCCTTCTAGACATTCCCTTCTCCTGCTCTGATATGTGCCAGTGGCTTCTAGGTATGTTGTTCTCATCCTTAAACTTCCTGGCCTGATGTCCTTTGTTGGATCTGTTGATTTATAGATCCCAAGTCTTCCTATTCTTTATAATACATCCTCATTCTGTTCCGCATATCTCTAAGTAACTTTATTAGAAAGGAGAATGAGGGAGCTGAATTTTGAGTCTTCCTGTGTCTACAACGTGTTCTGTCTTCACACATAGTTGCTTGTGTAGCTAGGTTGAGAATTGTACTTTGAAAAGTATTTTCCTGTAGAATTGGAAACTTATACTCTTCTAGCATCTGGAGTTGGGAAGTTTGGTGCCATTCTGATGGGTGTTCCTTTGAATTTAACTCTTTTATTTTCTTCTCTGGTAGCTTTTAGGCTTTCATGTACCTCATGATCTGAATTTTTATTCTGTACCCTCATTACTTGCTGTTTTATTATAATGTGGGCACTTGATTGGTTCTGTCTGAGGATCCTAGTCTTTTGAGATCTTTAAGAAGTTCCACAATCTTAATATTACATGGTGTGGCTTCCTTCAGGAGTTTATTAGGGATTTGGAGATTCCCAAATATTCTACTAACTTATACCCTTGAGAGAGGGGAGAATAAACAGAGGAGTGAATGTGAACTTCAGAATTCCTAGCTTCATAGTCTAAATAGAAATCCTCTAAGATCATAAAATGTCCCTAAGAACTCATGCCTTACATTAATTTTTTTGGTATTTTTTCTATTGATTCTAAGCATGGAAATGTAGATGGAGATTTTGTTGATGTATTTTCAAATTATGTATCAATAATAGGGAAGCTTACTTGATTTCTTTAAAATCTGGTCACTATATCTATAAATATAGTGGACATTAAATGTACAGCATAAGGTAATTATGTGGACTTTAAAAAGGCGTTAAAATATGTGCCATTTTCTATTATTCTGCTCAGTAGGCTTCTAAAAGCGTGTATGAACATGCCCAACCCAGTATTGGGCCTCCGTAGGTGCTCAATAAATGTTAGTTGATTGCCTCTTTTCTGCTTCTAGGTACATAAGCACCATATTAATTTATATAGTATATTTGATTATGTTAGGTTAATGCATAAATCACATGGATTGGTTGTTTCTTTTACAGATCACTAAAGTGGTTCTTAGCAAAGGTTGGAGGTGTCTTGAGTGCACTGTGTGTGAGGCCTGTGGGAAGGCAACTGACCCAGGAAGACTCCTGCTGTGTGATGACTGTGACATAAGTTATCACACCTACTGCCTAGACCCTCCATTGCAGACAGTTCCCAAAGGAGGCTGGAAGTGCAAATGGTACTCTAGGGTTTGTTTGCCTTGTTAGTCTTTCAAGTTCAGAGCTTTCTCATACCACTTTGGTTTTTAAAAATTAGCCACACCTATTTAATTGAATAATACACATATTCTATGATAGATACCAGTAATCAGAAAAATTTTCACATACACATTAAATCATTTCCCCCATTATGTTCGTATGTAGCTTCCTGAATTACAGTAACTGAGTAACTAAGAAAATAAAATTGAGACTTTTCGGGGGGATTTGGATTTCAGGTGTGTTTGGTGCAGACACTGTGGAGCAACATCTGCAGGTCTAAGATGTGAATGGCAGAACAATTACACACAGTGCGCTCCTTGTGCAAGCTTATCTTCCTGTCCAGTCTGCTATCGAAACTATAGAGAAGAAGATCTTATTCTGCAATGTAGACAATGTGATAGGTATTGTGCTATTTTTTCATCTTTTTAAAGCTTTTCTCTTTGAAATGTAGCAAAAAAAAAAACAAATGGAAAATAGCTTTTCCTTAATCACAAGTTTTAGGTACAGAACTTTTTGCCTTGTAGATTTTTAGTCACCTAGAAACTTACAGAAGCGATTTCCTGTTTTGAATTCTCAACTCCGGACTAAAATTTTGTTTTGTTTTGTTTTTAAATTTAGAGACAGAGTCTTGCTCTGTCACCAGGCTGGAGTGCAGTGGCGCTATCTTGGCTCACTGCAACCTCCACCTCCGCCTCCTGGGTTCAAGCGATTCTCCTGCCTCAGCCTCCCGAGTATCTGGGACTACAGGTGCATGCCACCACGCCCAGCTAATTTTTGTATTTTTAGTAGAGACAGGGTTTCACCATGTTGGCCAGGATGGTCTCCATCTTTTGACCATCTTTTGACCGCCCGCCTCAGCCTCCTAAAGTTTTATGATTATAGGTGTGAGCCACTGTGCCCGCCCAAGACTAAAGATTTTTAATTTAGGCCTTTTTGAGGGTTTAGGAATCCCTTGAAATTAGATGGAGAATTATTGCCTTCATCTATGCCGTTTCTTATGAAGGGTTTCTGAATCTTCTAATAGATTATAAAAAATATCTAACACATTCTGTTCTCCTTAAACCACTTTTTCTTAAAGCTCTAGATACTAGATATCTAGATATTAGATAGCACCTTCTGCCCTCCCTACGTAATTATGTGGAATTTCATAATCAAGAATGTTTCCTTGCTTTCATTGGTATATTGTTGTACTCTTTAGAAGTTAAGAAGTGAACATATATTATTAATAGTATTATTTTATCAGTAGTACAGTATTCTTGGGACTCTGGCTACTAATTATTTGTTCCATTGCAAGACAACTTTTTACTTAATTTCCCGATTACCATTCAACATCGCTTTCCGTGAGATATGTCTACTTCAAGTTAGATGCATTACCTGGAGCACATACCTGCTAGCACTGCCATTTGCAGTTTTCTGAATACCTTTGTGTTTGCCCTAACTAGCTTCCTTTCTGTCTTTGAAATATTTAATATATGATGATAAAATAATTAGCTTCCTTATGTAATGTGCTTTGCTTCCTCTCTAATAGTTGTTCTCATTCCTTTTTATTTCCTTCTTAGCTGTATGAAAGTTTTTCTGTTAATAGAGATAGTTAGGAGAAAAGGGCAAGGTAGGAGGAGCATGTGAGGCTTAGGGCTTTTAAGTTTGAAGACTCAGTGTTACAGGTTTTAAAAGGTAGCAGTTCTCAGTATATTCCATTTTTTAAAAAAAATGTACAAATATGGTCTTTTTAGATGGATGCATGCAGTTTGTCAGAACTTAAATACTGAGGAAGAAGTGGAAAATGTAGCAGACATTGGTTTTGATTGTAGCATGTGCAGACCCTATATGCCTGCGTCTAATGGTAAGAGAATAATTTAAACTGTGAGTCTGCACTCTTGTACCACTCACTTGCACCTTACTGTCCATAACCAATGAATTAGCTTAGCTCTACTCTATTTTGTCTTTGTGAAACTTACTTTGACAAGTATTTTATGAAAAATATTATTTTTGGTTATACATGACTTATCACAACTTGTTATAAAACAATTTACATGAAACAATAAAAAGCATATACTTTAGATGTAAACTATAATTTTGCTTCCAAGGAACATGATCTTGTAGTTATTGACAATATGTCAGAATCCAATATGTTGATTGTTTCTTAGCCAGGTTTTCCTCCATGACTTGAGTATTTCCTTCATCACTTCTTGTTTTGTTGTTGCTTTAAAAAGCACTTTTAACTTTAGTGTTCAAACATTTATTTTAATAAAATGAGTATAGAAACAGAAATTATAATCATATATAAGTATTTAAATACACTTTACCTTTTCTGAAAAGAATTACCTGGATTTTTTTTTTTCGTTTCAGTGCCTTCCTCAGACTGCTGTGAATCTTCACTTGTAGCACAAATTGTCACAAAAGTAAAAGAGCTAGGTAAAATTTGAAATGCTTTACTTGATTTAATTAATTTACTTTGCTTAATTTTTACATAATTGGCTTACCACTTGTCAAACCTGCTTCAATCATATGGGTGTTCTATCCAAATTCTGTAATGTTGGTAATCATTTCCACAATGATATATAAAATGTCATCCAGCTTTACTGGGGCAGTATTCCTATAAATTTCAGCAAGTAGGCAACAAAAATAACAGCTCTTAGAATAACCATTAATGCCATACTTGCTTTAGTTTCATTGATATATTACTGTGCTTAATTATCAGTTAGCAGAAAACACGGCCTAGTTAGCGAACAGATTTCTTTTAGAATTAATTCAATCTCTTAATTTTTAAAATAATTAATAAGCCTAGTATGGTGATTCATATGATATTCTTATTAAACAGTCATTCTTTTGAATATTTGTATTTAATAGCACCTGATACAAAAATGTTTGGATAGTACAGGAATTGTTCTAAGGAACAACAGTTTTGTACATTTAAAATTAAATCTGCAGGATTTGTACTTATTTATTACTTCTCCCTATTAGTAATTATGTTGATACTCTGATTTTTCCAGATGAGCTTCTGGAGTATTCTCTCTTCTCTTACGTAAATAGATCCCTGCCTTTTGATCTTTTCTACGAAGAAGCTCATAGTGGATTAGCTGAGCATTGCATTTAGTTGCAGTGCTTCTAACTCTTTTTATTGGGACATGAAAATAGAAATTCCAGGAAGACTTTTTTGAGACAGAGTCTCGCCCTGTCGCCCAGGCTGGAGTGCAGTGGCACGATCTCGGCTCACTGCAACCTCTGCCTCCCGGGTTCAAGCGATTCTCCTGCCTCAGCCTCCCGCATAGCTGGGATTACAGGTGCCCGCCACCACGCCTGGCTAATTTGTTGTATTTTTAGAAGAGACAGGGTTTCACTGTGTTAGCCAGCATGGTCTCGATCTCATGACCTCGTGATCTGCCTGCCGCCTCGGCCCCCCAAAGTGCTGGGATTACAGGCATGAGCCCCTGCACCTGGCCCAGGAAGACCATTTTTTAAAAACATGCAACCTTTCTGCCTGTAATCCAAGGAAATTTGACCTATTGTTCATAGTTTTTATTGGGTATCATGAAGTTAATTATTCATGCATTTCATAGATACGTAATTGCTTTCTAGAACTACAGTCACATTCCCTTGACATGGGTATTTTGGAACAGTAATCAGTCAAATTTGAAATGAAAGTTTAAATTTGTATCCTTGGGATTTTGTAATTTTAGACCCACCCAAGACTTATACCCAGGATGGTGTGTGTTTGACTGAATCAGGGATGACTCAGTTACAGAGCCTCACAGTTACAGTTCCAAGAAGAAAACGGTCAAAACCAAAATTGAAATTGAAGATTATAAATCAGAATAGCGTGGCCGTCCTTCAGACCCCTCCAGACATCCAATCAGAGCATTCAAGGGATGGTGAAATGGATGATAGTCGAGGTAATACTAATTTATTTTCCATGAAATATGTGTGCAAGAATTAAAGCATATAAAGTAACTTTTGAAATATGTGTATGATTTACCAAAGGGTAAATCACACTGACTTAGTTAACCCCTGATGTGACTGACCCTTGCCATTTCCAAATGAGTGATCTTCTTAGACCTTGCCTTTTCAGGTTCTCTTCCTTTCACACATTTTAGAACAGACCTACCTTACAGAAATCTCAAGGAGCACCATATCTTTGAAGATCACAGGTGGGGAACTACAGAGGGCTTGACTTTAGTTTGCTAGATAACGACACAAACCTTCTCAGATACTGTGAGCTTGGATAATACCATGTTTCAGTTAAGGTAGTTGATGCATACATTCTAGAAATGGAAAAGCTGTCATTTAATGTTACTTCAGGTATAACTTCATATTCACCAGTGTGCATCATAAAGTATTGGTTTATAAACATTTTCTTGATCAAAGTAAATATAAGGTTTTTCTAGCTGAATTCTTTTTTTTTTTTTCAGTTGGGAGACAGGGTCTTGCTCTGTTGCCCAGGTTAGAGTGCAGTGACACGATCTTGGCTTACTACAACCTCTGCCTCCTGGGTTCATGCGACCCTCCTACCTCAGCCTCCTGAGTAGCTGGGACCATGGATGCGGGCCACCACGCCTGGCTAATTTTTGTATTTTTTTGTAGAGATGGGGTTTTGCCATGTTGCCCAGACTGGTCTGGAACTCCTGGGCTCAAACCATCTGCTCTGCTCAGCCTGCTGAGTTCTTGAGATAGCAAAATATTTTAATAGTAACCCAAAATCCAATATGAGTTAAAGAGGATTACTGTTGGTTTGCTCATTTTTGGGGCGGTTATTTATTTTCAACTGATTCAGAAATGAAGTGATAATTATTTGTTTGATTATATTTTATTTCATAGTTTTTTGTTTTTTTTTTTTAAGGGGCAGTGTCTTGTTACGTTGCCCAGGCTGGTTTCCAACTCCTGGGCTCAAGTGATCCTTCTGCCTCAGCCTCTCAAGTAGCAGGTACTATAGGCATGCGCCACTGCAGCTGGCTTTGAGACAATAGAATTTATTGAATATCTACTGTATGTCAGATGTTGGAAATCATATCAGTGTACAAAGCAGGTAGAATTCTCTGCATAGAGTTTATATTTTAATGTTAGGTAACCCAACTCTTAAAAAAAATCAGTTAATTATAATGTGTTTGGCAAGTCCCATGGTAAAAATAAAGTTTGATAAGAATTGCCTGGCCAGGCGCAGTGGCTCATGCCTGTAATCTCAGCACTTTGGGAGGCCGAGGTAGGTAGATCACTTGTGGTCAGGAGTTCGAGACCAGACTGGCCAACATGGTGAAACCCATTCTCTGCTAAAAATACAAAAATTAGCCGGGCTCAGTGGCATGCACCTGTAATCCCAGCTACTCGGGAGGCCAAGGCAGGAGAATTGCTTGAACCTGGGAGGCGGAGGTTACAGTGAGCTGAGATTGCACCACTGCACTCCAGCGTGGGTGACAGAGCAAGACTCTGTCTCCAAAAAAAAAAAAAGGAATTGGAAGTACAGATGGGTGTTTAGGGTCCATATGAACAGAAAGCAGTATTTGAGCACAGATTTTAAAGAGGTGAGTGAGTGAGCCACTTGATTACCTGAGAGAAGAGCATCCCAGACAGTGAGGAAGCCGATGTAAAGGCTCTGGGTGAGAGTGTGCTGAGCATGTTTGAAGAAAGAGTGTTGTGGAGACCAACAGAGTGAGCAGAGGGGACAGTCAGAAGGTGAGAAGATTAGAGATGTGAGGACAAGAAGGACGGCTCAGTATATCTCACACAACCATAAGGTGATGTGTCAGTAGTTTGTGCTTAATAGCAATGGAATGGGAGGCCATTGAATGTTCCTGAAAAGAAGAACACCATGATCTTATTTATATTTTAAGAGGAACACTCTCCTATGATATAAATAGATGATTAGGTGCAAGAGTTATGACAGGTAGATCAGTGAGAAACAATGGTCCAGGTGAGAGGTAATTGTGGCTTTGAAAAGGTATGTCATTTGTGGCCGGGCTCGGTGGCTCATGCCTATAATCTGTAATCCCAGCATTTTGGGAGGCCAAGGCGGGTGGATCACCTGAGGTCAGGCGATCAAGACCATCCTGGCCAACATGGTAAAACCTCATCTCTACTAAAAATACAAAAATTAGCTGGGTGTGGTGGCAGGCACCTGTAATCCCAGCTACTCGGGAGGCAGAGGCAGAGGATTGCTTGAACCCAGGAGGCAGAGGTTGCAGTGAGCCAAGATCGAGCCACTGCACTCCAGCCTGGTGACAGAGTGAGACTCCATCTCAAAAAATAAATAAATAAATGAAAAGATATGTCTTTTGTATGTTCTTGATAATTTTTGTTTTGTAGTGTGTTTTGGGTCTATGTTACTGGGAGAAACACTTTCTGATGCTTGTATGTAACTGATTTTCAGATACAATTGAACAGGTAATTTGATTTGGGCAGTTGGAGTTTGCAAAGAAGTAGTCCATATACTTAGGAGGAATTGATCAGATCAGCTTTAACAAGAATTTCCATTTCTGAGGATGTTAAAAAATGTCTGAAAAAGGTTTCCATAGTCTCTTAAATTTGGGAAGTGCTCCATTTCACAAAATATGAAAGGTTTCTTGATAATAGTACACATTGTTTCCCAAATTATGAGATTATAATACCTTTTAAAAACAACACAAAAGACCTTGGAAGGTTTTCCTTGTGACTACCACTTGTAAACTGAGAAATGGTGATATGTTTCAATTTCATATTTTCTCATTGACTCGTATCAGGGTAAAAGAAAATCAGTTGAAAAATTACCCTTGCTTTTTTAAAATTTACGTGATAAAATAGCCCATCTGAATTTACTGAATTTGTCCTTATTTTTATTGAATATGAAAAAAGATTGTTTAGTGTGTTGGATGTTAAATGCTAAGACAATTTTAGAATTTAAGGAATTGAATATACAGCATTTTCATGACTAGTCCCTCATGTTCATTTACGTGCCAGGATCTCACATCCTTTGCAGAAGGAAAGGTACATTCCTAGGGATAAAATAAGTGCATGTTACTTGGACAACATTTTTGCTTTCTGTTTGCTAAATAAAAATCCCTTTTAAAAATTCAGTATTGCCACACTTTGCCATATTAAAAATGTTTTAGATTACTATATTATCCTGAAACTACATGTACACACACACCCCTAAAATAAGTTTTATGGTATTTCATATGCCTGTACAGGAGAAAAAATAGGGAAAGAATACAATCATCGTAAGTTCTTATTATTACATTATGCTGAGATTTCTAATAACACTGCCCTTTTCTGGGTATTTTGTATTAAACCTAAAATTTGTGATGTTTTAGACTGTTTCACTAACGTGTTTTGATAATGTCTCAGTACCCTTGGGAAAACATTATAAAGTAGTGGGCAATGATGAAACCTACTCTGGGTGTTTTTAGGCAAATTTTTTAACTTCTTTGATGCTAGTGTTCTCATTTATAAAATAGGTGAACCAGGATGAGCCCATAGGATAGTTGTGCTGATGAGGTGCAAGGATGCATGCCAGGCACCCAGCACTGGCTCTTCCCACACATGGAGTGCTCAGTAACCGTGAGCTATTAGAATACAAGTGCTCAACCAGTGCTTGAGCAATTGTGTCTTGTGTCCAACAGAACTCAACAGAATCCCATGCTTGTCTTTATATGTGAATTCAGTTCCTTTTGAGTTAGTAAGAAATTATGCCTGTGTTGGGGTAATTGAACTTTTAGGATGAGGGAATTGTCTGCCACAATTATTCTATGAGCTTAATGTTTCCATGTCTTTTTCTTCATTTTGGAAGTTGTGGAAAAATTATAATGAAAGAGTATATAAACGTTTTCCTCTGTATTATAGCATATCTGACAGTTTCCTTTATTAAAAAGTACAATACATTAGGGAGAGACTTGATGAATTTAAAATTAAAGTTTGAAAAGTATTATTGACTATAAGTGATCTTCAGCTGTGCAGTTTTCAACTTGAGGTTGTCAGAATGTAATATTACACATTATATTACACACATCTACAGAATCCAAACTGTGATGTTCCTGGAGTATTGGAACAATACCTATGACTTTTTGTTTCTATTTATTTTTAACTCTTCTAATAACCGCTTCCTTAAGAAAAGTCATACATCATCACTTTGGTGTATCAGAAACAAATTCCTTATGCAATAAAAGCATACTTCTTTCTCATTCACCTCCTGGGATCTAGAAACCCTGTTAATGCAAGAAAAAAATCCCATACCTCAATAAAATAACACTCTGTTTGTCTCAAGAGTGGAAACACAACACATTTCCTCTCAACTGGTGGTCCCAGATCGACCATCACAGTGTATGGATGTGTTGGGAGGTGTGGGAATAGGACTGCACTGAGGCTCTAGAAGGCCAGCAGGTGGGGCAGACTGAATGGAGGGAGGGGACTGGCATTCAGTAACTACTGGAGAGTGGGAAGAGTGAGGTAGACTATCCATCTGGTGAAGGTGGCTGCTTCCTTGAGGTTTGTTACTTTCTGTAATGTTAATTCCCTCAACTTTTAAAATTTGATTTTTAGACAAGTTATACATTCAAATGATTTAAAATTGGAAAATAATTAAAAGGTAAACAGTGAAGTCTCTCCCTTTCCCCTGCCTTCATGCCCCCAGTTTACATCTCCAGAAACCTCAGAGGTTTCTTGTGTAACCTTCCAGATGTGTTTTATGCATGTATAAGGAAATGTGTGTGTGTGTGTGTGTGTGTGTATATATATATATTTTGTGTGTGTATGTGTGTGTGTATATATATATATTTTGTTCCTTTTGTCTTACTACTATTTACTGTCCTTCATTTTTTTATGGCTGCAAATATTCCTTTGTATGGAAATATAAGCAATTTAACTTACCTGTTCTTTCCCCTGTTGATAGACCTTTGGGTTTCTTTCAATCTTTTTTTTTTTTTTTTTTTTTTTTTTTGAGACAGAGTCTTGCTGTGTCGCCCAGGCTGGAGTGCAGTGGCACGATCTTTGCTCACTGCAAGCTCCGCCTCCTGGGTTCACGCCATTCTCCTGCCTCAGCCTCCCGAGTAGCTGGGACTACAGGCACCTGCCACCACGCCCGGCTAATTTTTTTGTATTTTTAGTAGAGGCGGGGTTTCACCATGTTAGCCAGGTTGGTCTCAATCTCCTGAACTCGTGATCTGCCTGCCTCGGCCTCCCAAAGTGCTGGGATTACAGGTGTGAGCCACCGCGCTCGGCTTTCTTTCA
This sequence comes from Homo sapiens, assembly GCF_000001405.40. Lineage (NCBI taxonomy): Eukaryota > Metazoa > Chordata > Mammalia > Primates > Hominidae > Homo > Homo sapiens. The sequence goes on along the minus strand of NC_000007.14, from coordinate 152,215,223 downwards.
GTCTTTTACTGTGAATAGTACAATGAATCACCTGGTATATTTATAATGTTGTATGTAAGTGGGCCTGCAAAGGTGAATTCCTTGCTAAATCCAAAGACATAATGCATTTAAAACTGTTTTTGGCAGGTAGGATACAGTTTTTTTTTTCATTTATTTTTATTACACATATCTGAGGTATACAACATGCTTTGTATACATAGTGAAATGATTACTATGGTCAAACAAATGTCTGTATCCTTCACCTTCCATAGTTACTCTCTGTGTGTGTACACCTAAAATCTCTTTCAGCAAATTTTCATTACAATATTATTAACTGTGGTTCTCATGCTGTGTATTAATTTGATCTCTAGAATTACTCGTCTTACCTAACTGCAGATTTGTACCCTCCGACCTACTTCTGCCCATCCCACCCATCCCCTACCTCCAGACCCTTGATAACCACCATTCTACTCTCTATACGTTCAGCTTCTCACCCCGCTGCCTACCATTCTGCTTATTAAGTGAGATCATACAGTATTTTTCTGTGTCTGGCTTACTTTATTTAGTATACTTTCCTCCCGGTTCATCCATGTTGTCACAAATGGCAGTGTCTCCTTTCTTAAAGCTAACTATTCCATTGTATAAAGTCCTCATTGTCATCAGTAAGTTCTTAGAAACTGTGGTTAAGAGGGGGAAAAAAGTATGACAAAACTGATTTTTTTTTCATTTTGCATTATGCCAAAATTAGATTGAAGGAAACAGTGTTACTTGAGGACCTGCTGTATGTTCATTTAGCTTAACGTCTCAGTTCCCAAGAACCTATTGATGACATTAAGGGAGGACTTAATATATGTGTATACACACGTCACAATTTCTTTATCCATTCATCTGTCCTTGAATGGGTAAGTAAATTGTCCATCAGGACACTTAGTTTGTTTCCATATCTTGGCTATTGGGAGTAATGTCGCCATGAATATGGGAGTGCAGATGTCTCTCTCAGATGCTGATTTTATTACCTTTGAATATATGCCCAACAGAGGCATTGTTGGATCTTATGGTGGTAGTTTTTTTTTTTTTAAGGAAACTCTATACTGTTTTCAATAATGGCTATACTAATTTACATTCCTATCAACCATGTACAAAGGTTTCGTTTTCTACACATCCTCACCAACACTTATGTCTTTGCCTTTTTGATAATAGTCATTCTAAGAGACATGAGATGATATCTATTGTGGTTTTAATTTTCATTTTTCTCATGATTATGATGTTGAGCATCTTTTCATATACCATTTGACCATTTGTGTGACTTTGGAAAAATGGCTATTCAGGTCCTTGCCTATTTTAAAATCCAGTTATTTGGGATTTTTTTGCTACTGAGTTGTGTGAGTTCCTTATATGTTTTGGATTTTAACCCCTTATCAGATGTGTGGTTTGCCAATATTTTCCCCTAATCCCTGTGCTACCTTTTCACCCCGGTGTTTTTTTTTTTTTTTTATTGCTATGCAGAAGCTTATTTGCTTGATGTAGTCCCACTTGCTTATTTTTGCTTTTGCTACCTGAGCTTTTGGTGTGATATCCAAAAAATCATTGTCAAGGAGGATATCAAGGAGTTTTTCTCCTATATTTCCTTCTAGGAGTTTTATGGTTTCAGGTGTTAGGTATTTAATCTATTTTGAGTTGCTTTTTATGTATGATGTGTAAGATAGGCATCAGGTCCAGTTTCATTCTTTTGCATATAGATATCTAGTTTTCTTACCACTACTTATTGAAGACACCATCTTTTCCCTATTGTATCTTATTGGACTTGTCAAAAATTAGCTCATAATATATGCTTGGGTTTATTTTTGGGCTCTGTATTCAGTTCCATTGATCCATGTGTCTGTTTTTATGCCAGTACCATACTGTTTTGTTAACTATCACTTTGTAATATAACTTGAAATCAGGTAGTGTGATACCTTCTACTTTGTTTTTCTTTCTCAAGATTCTTTTGGCTATTCAGGGTCTTTTATGATTTAATACAAATTTTAGAATTGTGTTTTCTATTTTTGTGAAAAATGCCTTTGGAAATTTGATAGGGATTGCATTGAATCTGTAGATCACTTTGGATAGTATGGACATTTTAACAATATTCTTCCAATCTACAAACATGGGGATATCGTTATATTTATTTGTGTCTTTAGTTTTTTTTCTGTTTTTTGAGACAGAGTCACGCTCTGTTGCCCAGGCAGAAGTGCAGTGGTGTGATCTCCGCTCACTGCAACCTCTGCCGCCTCCTGGGTTCAAGCAATTCTGCTGCCTCAGCCCCCCAAGTAGCTGGGATTACAGGTGCCTGCCACCACGCCTGCCTGGCCAATTTTTGTATTTTTAGTAGAGACAGGGTTTCGCCATGTTGGCCAGGCTGGTCTTGAACTCCTGACTTCAGGTGATCTACCCGCCTTGGCCTCCCAAAGTGCTGGGATTACAGGCGTGAGCCACCATGCCCGGCTGTGTGTCTTTAGTTTCTTTTGTCAATATTTTATAGTGTTTAGTATATAAAGCTTTCACTTCCTTCATTAAATTTGTTCCTCAGTGTTTTATTCTTTTTGATGTTATTTTAAATGGAAATGTTTTCTTCATTTTTTTTTCAGATCATTATTTGTATAAAGAAATGCATCTGATTTTTGTATATTGATTTTGTATCCTGCTACTTGACTGAATTCATTTATTCTAGTAACTGTGGAATTTTTGGGGGTTTCTACATACAGGATCATGTCATCTGCACACAGGGATAATTTTACCCGCTTTTTTCTGCTGATGCCTTTTATTTCCTTTTCTTATGTGATTGCTCTGGCTAGGACTATGTTGAATATAAGTGTTAAGAGTAGGCATCCTTGCCTTGTAGCAGATATTGAAGAAAAGCTTTCAGTCTTTCCCTGTTGTAGGTTTGTTTTTGAATAGGCAATACCTGTGCATGATACAAGAAATACAGAGGTCTTAAAAAGAGTGAACAGTGTTAAGTTAGCCTACCTTTTGACCATCCCTTCCTTGGAAAGAACCAGTGTTTTCTTATAGCTTTCCAGAGATTAGTCATCTAGATACAAGTATGTATATATGGGAGAATTTCTCATATTTGGGTGATATGGTCTTTTTCTTTTCTTTCTGTCTGTCTTTCTTTCTGTCCTCGTCTCGTCTCTTCTCTTCTCTTTTCTTCGTTTCTTTCGATGGAGTCTTGCTTTGTCGCCCAGGCTGGAGTGCAGTGGCGCAATCTCGGCTCACTGCAAGCTCTGCCTCCCAGGTTCGTGCCATTCTCTTGCCTCAGCCTCTGGAGTAGCTGGGACTACAGGCACCTGCCACCACGCCCGGCTAATTTTTTGTATTTTTAGTAGAGACGGGTTTTCACTGTGTTAGCCAGGATGGTGTCTATCTCCTGACCTCGTGATCCGCCCGCCTCAGCCTCCCAAGGTGCTGGGATTACAGGCATGAGCCACCGTGCCTGGCCGATACGGTCTTTTTCTTTATTTCAGCCTGTGGGAATCAGAAGGCCCTTGTGAAGATGTTGGTTAGAAGAGACTTTAGCCTACAGTGATACCACCTGTGTGAGGGCACTGTATGTGCTACTTTATGCCATTTGTCTCAACATGTATGCTTACTGGTGTCACTATGAACCTCATCAATAAAAGTGCTCTCTTGGTTTTTACTGTCCTTGTGTGCATTGTTTCAGGTGAAAGGTGGCCTTTGTACTAGATCCAGTGTTATCCTTGGCCACAAACCATTACATATGATTAACTTGGGGATTTCCTCTTCATCATCCTGGAGATCATCTTCTGTTCTCTCCTGTGTTACATGTGTTTTCTGCAATTTCATGAATTTCTCTTTATTTTTTCCCTCTATTTGGGTGGAACGTATATTCCATAGCTCCCTGACAGAGAATGTGTGGAAGGTAAGTTTTGAGCATTATATACTTCTGAAAATGTCTTTATTTTACCTTCCTACCTGACTCATCTTTTCCAGGTTGGAAATACATTTTCATTTATCAATTTTAGTCAATTGATCCACTGTCTTTTAGTTTCTAGTATATGAAGAACTCGGTTCTCTCTATGTGACCTGCGTTTTCTTGGAAGCTGTTAAGATTTTGGGAAATTCTTTGTCCTCAGTGTTCTAAAATTTCATGAGGATAACGTCTGTTTTTGTCTATTTTTGATTTTTAAAATCTGTTTTGTTAGGCACTGAGTGGTCTCTTTCAGTCTGCTGTCTTATATCCTTCAGTGGTAGGAAATGTTCTTGAACTATATTATTGATAACAATTCCCTCTGTTTTTCCAGAATTCTGCTTTTCAGATGTGAAACATACTCAGTTTTTCTCTGCTTCTTTCCAATTCATGTCCTTATTTTATCTTCCTCTACTGAGTTTTATTTCTATTTCAGTTATTTCAAGAGCTTTCTTTCCTCCCTTTGAATGTTTCTTTTGTAGCATCCTATTCTTGCCTCATGGGTATCTTATATTATCCCTCAGAGGATTTTAATCTTTTTTAAGATTTTTTTTCTTCCTACTTAGTCTGTTAATTCCAAATTGTCTTTTATGTTCTCAGGTCTCTGTCTTTCATGTTACAGATCAGGGGTGTTGCAGATCTTCTGGCTTCCATGGCCCACAATGGAAGAAGCATTGTCTTGGGCCACACATAAAATACACTAATGATAGCTGATGAGCTTTTTTAAAAAAAAAAAAACTCATAAAAAGTCTCATAATGTTTTATGAAAGTTTATGAATTTGTGTTGGGCTGCATTTAAAGCATCTTGGCTGCAGGTTGGACAAGCTTGTTATAGACCATAGTCGGATAATCTTTATGGTACATGCATGATTAAAAGTGAAGAACTAAAGATGGAGACTGGATAGATAGTATTTTTATTTTTTAAAAAAGGAATTAAGTAGTTGATTAGAAAGCTTTCTGTATGTGGTGGTGCTTGTCGATTTGTAAGTTTAGTGGGGTGATTTGTGCTGACCATTTGGTGAACCCTCTGGTTTCCGTATCTTTAGATGTTCTTCTTGAACTGCTCAGGTTCCCCACTGCAGTCTTTTCAAACCTCATACTTGGAGGCTAGAGATCTGGCTGCTAGCTTTCTGAGAATTCAGTGGGGAAACGTGGGGTCTGGCAGCGGGAGCAGGATGGGGTTGTCCACATTTAGTATGCCCATATTTTCTTGGTCCTATTTTCAGTCTTCATCCCATTGTTCCATTTAAGGTCACCCAGGAATCCTGCATCCCACAAATGAGAGTAGCAGCTTCTCAGTGTGTAAACCTAGGAAGCAGATGTAGGGAGTATGACTTCTGCAGATAATTAAATCTCTTGTTGCTTGGGTTTTCTCCCACTTATTTCCAAAGGTGGCCAGTTTTCCTAGTTTCTCAGCCTTCTGAGGAGTGTTATAAACTGGATTCTTTTTTTCAGTTCTTTCTGCTCTCAACTGAGAATTTGCCTTTGTTAAGTTGTTTTTCTCCTTTCCTATTGTCTTTTTTTTTTTTTTTTTAAAGGAGATTGGGTCTTTCTCTGTTGTCCAGGCTAGAATGCAGTAGTGTGATCATAACTCACTGTAGCCTCAACCTTCTGGGCTCAAGCAATTCTCTTCTCCCACCTCAGCCTCCCAAATAGCTGGGATTACCGGCATGCCACCATGCCACAGCTTGATTTTATCTTTTAAAAATAGATTATTTCAGTGTGTTTTTTAGTAGGGTTTCAGGAGAATGTAATTTTAACATATGAATTTAGTCTGCCATCTTAACTCAAAATTCCCTGTCATTTTTTTTTTTTTTTTTTTTGAGACGGAGTCCCGCTGTCGCCCAGGGTGGAGTGCAGTGGTGCCAATTCGGCTCACTGCAAGCTCTGCCTCCCAGGTTCACGCCATGCTCCTGCCTCAGCCTCCCACGTAGCTGGGACTACAGGCACCAGCCACCTCACCTGGCTAATTTTTTGTATTTTTTAGTAGAGACAGGGTTTCACTGTGTTAGCCAGGATGGTCTCGATCTCCTGACCTCGTGATCTGCCCGCCTCGGCCTCCCAAAGTGCTGGGATTACAGGCGTGAGCCACCGTGCCTGGCCTTTTTTTTTTTTTGAGAGTTGGAATTTCACTCTTGCTGCTCAGGCTGGAGTGCAATGGCACAATCTCGGCTCACTGAAACCTCCGCCTCCCAGGTTCAAGCAATTCTCCTGCCTCAGCCTCCTGAATAGCTGGGCTTTTAGGCGTGTACCACCACGCCCAGATAATTTTGTATTTTTAGTAGAGACTCACCATGTTGGTCAGGCTGGTACGGAACTCCTGACCTCAAGTGATCCACCTGCTTTAGCCTCCCAAAGTGCTGGGATTATGGGCATGAGCCACCGTGCCTGGCCTATAAACTTTTCTTTTCATGGCTTAGTCATAAGCCGATAGCCATTATCAGATTGTTATGGAATTGGCCTCAAATATAGACCAAATATAATAAAAAACAAAAGACAAATACCCTGTTCATGCCATTACTGAAATATGTTATCTCTAATACTGAGAATATTGAAGGAGTTAACAACTTGATTTTAAAATGTATTTGATAAACATGTCTTTTTCCTGTAATACAATGTAAAGCATATATAACTTGGAAAAGTTTGATTACCATAGTGTTAAAATAGCATTCTCTAAAATAGCATTCTCTAAGCATTCCATTTACCTCATTCAGTGAAGTATTTATTGAACATGTATTAGGTATCCTACTAACAATACATCTGTTACTAAGAAAATCTGTGTACCTGTTCTCATGGAGAATATAGTCTAGCAGGGACACAGATTTTAAAGAACCAATAAAAATAAAGCATGACATTAATACATAGGAGCATACAACTGTTTGACATAATCTTTTCTAAATATCAGGAATTCTTTAATACAGTGAAGTTTAGAATAAATCCTGAAAGATAAGTTAGGTAGAAGGCAGAAATTGGGGAAGATAGTGGAAGAAAGAGCTTGATACATTCAAAGAACTGAGTGTAGTTCACTGGTGGGAGTGAGATGAAGCTGGAAAGTTTACAAGAGACTGTTGTAATGGGCCTTGCAATTTAAAGTTTATTTTGAGGGCATTGGGAAGACATGAAAGGATTTTAAGCAGAAAATGGATACATATTTATAGAAAGATCATTTATGCAGTAATTTAAAGAACTGATTGGAGAGAGGTAAGCTTTAAGGTGGGGAACTAGATAGGAGCATGTTGTATTAATAGTGAGTCATCTGAGGTTGGACTAAGATGGTAGTAGAGAGTGATAAAATGCATTTCAGAGGTATTGAGAAGTCTTGGTTGTAGGAGGAAAGAGATTAGGAATGATTGAGGTGGTCTTCCAGGCCTCTGTCTTCTCCGGGTTACATTTCCATGCCTTTTAATGATGATAGGTAACATGGGAAAAAGGAGAAAGTTTATTTTAAATTAGTAGTTCATTTTGGATATACAGTTTTCAGTAACTAGGTAATATTCAATTATAGCTGTGGTTGAAGCTCAGAAGAGAGTTCTAGTCTAGAGACCTGGACCTGAAGACATAATTAAAAGCAAGTGAATTTGTTAAGTGCAAATGGATTGCACTTAACAGAACTCTGAGTTCTGTGTTCCCCTTCTCTGATTATGTTTTATTTCATGGGAACACTGCACTAAGCAGCACAATTTCTACAACCATTTGGGGCTTCTTCTATCTCCTTTCATACTTTCCCTACCAACAGGGATGTACAATTAAAATGGCTCAGCAACAACCCTACTTTTTATTCCCCATTATGTAGGGATTATATATTTGATAGGTTTTTCCAGTTTTGTGTATACATTTACTTTTTTCCAGAAGGAGAACTTATGGATTGTGATGGAAAATCAGAATCTAGTCCTGAGCGGGAAGCTGTGGATGATGAAACTAAGGGAGTGGAAGGAACAGATGGTGTCAAAAAGAGAAAAAGGAAACCATACAGACCAGGTATAGTGCCTGAGGTAGACATTTCAATATCATCAACACTTGGTTAATTAAAGAAAAATACAATACTGAAGACTTCAATTAAAATTAAATATTCAGGCTTCAGAACTGTCTAAACAAAAATATGTGCACATAAATTAAAGAACTAAACTATTTGAATACGACTTTTTAGCTCTAGAGTTCTTTATTTTGAATGTGTGAATACTTCACAATGAATCATTATTGAATGCCTTGTCCCAAATGTTAACCATTTTATTAAAGGCTTTACTAGATTGGCTTTTGTTCATACTTGGACTTTGAAGGCCATTTATATAGTTCCTCTGGATGTGTACTTCTGTAACGCTTTTAATTTTCAGTATTCACTTTCTAATATCTTTTTTTGAAAAAACTTATTTCAGTGTTTATGCAGGAGTGCCAGTAAGTATACAGTGTGAAGGGGAATAAGACAGAGTTATTATGGCTCCTAGAATTTATAGTCCAGTTAAAAACCATGACTGATTAAACACTCATTTCTTATCTGCCTCAGGAGTGGAGAGAAAAGCGGTCTTGCTTGTCAGTTTTATTTGCCTTATTGGAAAAAATTATTAAAATTGTCACAATACAGAAGTTGTAGGCTTTTATGTATTTATTTAAAAAATTTTTTTCCCGCTTATCACACGTGTTGAGTAGGCTTTCCTTAGGCAGTTTATTAATATCTTGTTTACCAATGAGGTTTTAAATTGGATTTGTACAATCTTTATGCTTCTTATTGCTTATATTTTATTGGTAAGAGTGATCTAAATCCCTTTTGATATGGAAGGAAGAACTTTCTTACTTCATTCGTATTCCATGAGACCTTAAAAGATAACCTATCTTTTAAATAGGTCATATCTATAATAAGGACCTAAGATTAGTTGCTTCTGAATTGTTTTATGAAAATGATTTCATTTCTTCCTGATCATGAGGCTTATAAGTGTACTTTTTTAGACATTGCAGATTTCTTCCAGGAACTTGTATTTACCGTTTTTTTTTTCTTTTCCTCTGCCTCACATGGAAGTCAACCCTCTAATTGAGGGACCCATTAGGTCACGGAGTAAATTGCTAGACAACGATATCATTTCACAAAAGCTTATAGTGTTGACTGTGTACCAGACCTCTATTCTAAGCACTTCACTTATGTTATTTGTCCTTTTAACATGTGTATGAGAAGCTGCTTTGCCTCACCCCCTTTTTTAACCAGTGAAAGAACTGAGGCATTGAGAAGTATTTAGTAAGCAGAATTACATAGTCTGACTCCAGATTCCATGCTGTTAAACACAGGGCTCTATGTGTCCCATGTATAAATGCCCTCATACCTTGGAGTACCAGACACCGTCCCCCTGAAATCATATCAGTCAAAGAATATTTGTGTCATCTAGGTAGTTTGTGCCTTCTATCCTCCAGCTAATGTACCAGTTAGCCGGTTAATATACAGACAGTCATCCATCACTTAAGTTCAGAGAAATACATCATTAGGCATTTTCATCGTTGCGTGAACATCATAGAGTGCACTTCCACAAACCTAGATGGTATAGCTTACTACACATTTAGGCTGTATGGTACGCTAAATTCATTTAAAAAAATAAAGTAATTGTGCTACGGTGTTATAACTACGGTGATGTCTGTATGTGGTGGGAATTTTTCAGCTCCATTATAATCTTATGGGACCACTGCCTTGACATGCAGCCCTTTGTTGACCAACATCATTATGCAGTGCATGACTGTTATGTGATGTATGAGGCACTAATATTTGTCAAATAGATAAGCCAGCGTAATTTAGTGTTTGATATTTACACTGATACTGTTGAGAAGAGGAAGTGCACACAGGTCTTTTTGTATTCTGTTTGATAAGTGATAAGAGTGGCTTTGCCTTTTTTTTTTTTTTTTTTGGTCGTTTTTAACTTCTATTTTACCTAAAAATCAGGTTATTGATTTAGATTAGCACAGATTTAATTTTGGAAAATGACTTACTATTCAAGATAAAGCAGTTTTATCCTGTGTACTGTGGAAATGTAGGGAGAAATTACTTATCAGTTTACCTAATTTCTTTTTTGGATAGGTATTGGTGGATTTATGGTGCGGCAAAGAAGTCGAACTGGGCAAGGGAAAACCAAAAGATCTGTGATCAGAAAAGATTCCTCAGGCTCTATTTCCGAGCAGTTACCTTGCAGAGATGATGGTATAGTACTGACTTAAAAAAAAATTTTTTTTTTAATGTAACCCTTTGGTCTTGATATTTCTATTGGAAAAAACTATCCTAAATAATGTTACAGTCAATAAGAGCCTTATTGCCTCTTATTGTTACTCAATAAGAGTCTTATTGCCTTTTATTGATGAAAGGATTTGAGTGCGTATAGAGTTCATATCTGTAATACAGTAATCAGGTTTTATAAGGAAATGGTTTAAATCCAATAGACTTTATTCTTTTGAGATTTTTTGACAAGCTCTTTTTTCCTGTATCAAATTATTAAATATATTTTCTATATTTAAATATAAATGGTTTAGGGACTGAATAACTTAGTTACATAAGGTACTTTCTGGTCATCTCCAAAGCCTTTCTTTGACTGCCTTAGCTACTTATCATATAATTTGAAATTCTCAAGTGACAGTGCACCTCAGTTTTTATCTATTTATGTATCTGTCTGTCTATCTATCTATCTATCTATCTATCTATCTATCTATCTATCTATCTAGGGGTCTCACTATGTCACCCAGGTTGGCATGCAGTGGCACAATCATGGGTCACTGCAGCCTTGCACTCCTGAGCTCAGGTAGTTCTCCTGTCCTCAACCTCTGATGTAGCTGGAGACCACAGGCACACACCACCATGCCTAGCTAATTTTTTGGCTTTTTGCAAAGACAGGGTCTCACTTTGTTGCCCAGGCTGGCCTGCAACTCCTGTGCTCAAGCGATCCTCCTGCCTCAGCCTCCCAAAGTGCTGGGATTACAAATGTGAGCCCAGCTGATATCTAAAAAAAATTTTGTTTTTGAGACAGTCTTCCTCTGTTACCCAGGCTGGAGTGCTGTGGTGCCGTCTCAGCTCACTGCAACCTTCACCTCCCGAGTCCAAGCAATTCTCGTGCGTCAGCGTCCCAAGTGGCTGGGATTACAGGCGTGAACCACTGCATCCAGCCAGGAGTTGTTTTTTTTTTTTGCTATTGGTGGTGAGCAGGAGGTGGCAAGTGATGGTTTGTGTGAAGGTGTATTTCTTATTAAACTGACCCTGAGCTTTATGCAAGTCACCTCTGGCCTGTCTGCCTTGGAGAGAGGCCTTAAGCTTTGTCTTCTATTCCCTATTCCTCGCAATGCTCTGAAAATTGGAGTTTGAGGTCATTGGATTTCAGCAAATTTCGGAGAGCTTTTACTTTTTTGCTTACTTCTGTGGTTCCTTATTTATCTTAATTTTTGTTTTTCATGGATTCCTTATGTTCTGGCTAGGTTACTGGTGCCTTTAAAAAGATTGTTGTAAAAAATGTTTGTCTATTTCTAGTTTTCAGAAGAGTCAATTCACTTACGTAGTCTGGTGGTAGAGTGCCCATATTGATTTTCAGAAGGGATGTGCCATTTGCCCTGCCATTATGAAGCATCTGAGAATATCATTTGATTGTTTATTTGTCAAATTTAAGCTGTGTTCTTGTTTCTTTGCTAGTTTCATAGTCCCCAAATTTATTTCCATTTCTGATTTCAAGAATAAGTGTTCATTGCATATTTATTAGCATATTCATCGTCATGTTTTCACAATGTGTATATCCTACAAATAATTTATAATAAATTTCTGAACTTGGAATTGCTGTATTAAAGGACACACTTTTTCTTTAAGGTTTTTGTTGAGTATTCTCAATACACCCTACAAAAAAGTTACACCCACAGAATTTCTCTTAATAGTTTATAAGTTGCCATTTCGTCATACTCATGAGCTTTGGGTATTTATTATTATTATTATTATTATTTTACTCTTTAACAAAATATGTTTAAATAAATACGTTTTTGCTTTGTAATCGATTATTAAGAAAATAGGAAAAATGCTAATACTAAGTAGACATGAAATCAAAATTTTATGGCACTTAAAAGTAACAAACTTGATTTGAGATTTTTTTGTTCAAAAAGCTTGTTTGTTTATATGAAACTGTGTGTATGTTGGTAAGGTATAAAATTACCTTCAGTGGGTTTGTCTAGAAATTTTAAATGTCACATATTTATAAATGTGACTGTTGTTTCAGGCTGGAGTGAGCAGTTACCAGATACTTTAGTTGATGAATCTGTTTCTGTTACTGAAAGCACTGAAAAAATAAAGAAGAGATACCGAAAAAGGAAAAATAAGCTTGAAGAAACTTTCCCTGCCTATTTACAAGTAATATTTTGCTTTACATTATTTTACATGGTTTGTTAATTGAGGAAATAAAATGTATTGAGTTTTAAAACATAGGTTTGTTGTTTTTGTTAATGTTTTACTTGTTTTGTTGTCATTTAGTCATCATAAATGCCATTTTTACCTTTCAGGGGTCCATAAAAATTAAATTTACTTTTTTTGTGTGCTTTGATACTTGTCATAAATTGCTTTTTTAATACCAGTTGTTCACTTCTAAGCATTCTATAAGATGTAACAAGGACACTTTGGGATAGGAAAAACTCAATCTTCCAAGTCATTGATAGCTATGTATACCCCACACCCAAGTTCTGTTGAAATTTCCTTTGCCAATACAAGTTACATTAATTATATTCATTGATTAAAGATAGGCTTTTCAGCCAAAGTTATAGCTTTAATAATCGTTACCACTTTTAGAGGCCTGGAGAACCAAAGATTTAAGCAGTATTCTTTTTGTTTTCCAAAATACACATCAGAAAAATACCTTTCAGTACGAATAAATTATGTTTGATAGATGTAGACTACAAAAAAAATTTTTTTCTAGTTCATCTTGTAAACATTAAGTCAGAGTTTAAGGCCATGTGATACGGAAACAGCTCAATATTAGAAATTGTACTGAGATTAAATATCTGGCTCTGCATCTAACTAATTGTAAATTCCTAAGCGTGTTATTCATCCTTCCTGGCCTCTATTTCTTCATGTGTTAAAATTGAACTGGAACAGACTATCATTGAGAGGCCATCCTCATTTCATTGTAGACAACTATTCATCTGATCTGTTCCTCCTAAGAAACTATGGCTTACACAGATAACCCTTCATTGCCTGAGTTGCATTTATTTTTTACATCAATTTTCCAGTTAGGTATTACTAGTTTAATTGGTTTTAAAATACATTGCCTTTCAACTAGCATACAACTTCCTCAATTTTCTTTTTTGTAGCTACTAACATCTTAATGGCAGTATTCATGTTAGAGCTCAGCCTATAAAGTCAGGATTTAAACACCATTCCACTACCAGTTAGCTGTGTGATTTTGTTCTGTTTAACATCTCTTGTGTCTCGGTTTCCTCATTTGTGACATAGTGGTGCCTCTCAGAAATGCTCAGAAGTTCAGTGAGAGTATGTATGTAAAGTGCCTAGCCTGTGCCTTACTTTTTGTATATCCTTCATACATGTTTTTCCCCTCAATCTCTTATATCCTAGGTTTGCACCTTTGTTTTTTTTTAAACGATCATTTAATTGGTCAGGAAAAAAAATCCATTTATAGGTTGGCTTACCTTTTTTTTTTTTTTTTTTTTTTTTTTCATCTTTGTTGTTGTTTTCTCCTGGGATTCCCTTTACCTCCCTTCTTAATAGTCCTTTCTAGGAATATTGTGATGGCAACCTACTTTTCCTCCTATTGATCCTTCTGTAAAGTGTAATATAAATTTAAGAAGCTTTCTTTAGGTGTTTCTGCAAGTATGAAAACTAGCCATTTAATACTTTGGCAAAAGAGTCTTTAAAATTATTAGGTCTAATTTCCCAATTACTGCTGTGATCTTAGTCTCCTGGGCCGTCTTGTTCCCCTGTTGCACATCAGTAACTTTCAGCGTGTGTGTGTGTGTGTGTGTGTGTGTGTGTGTGTGTGTCTGTGTCTGTATGTGTGACATGAGGGAGGCCTTTTTAATGGTAGTTTTCTTGGACTTTTAGAGACGATATGGATGGAGCCCCCTCTTTATGTTATCTACAGGGAATGTAAAACACACTAAATTAATAAGGGTGACACAGTTTTTGATAAACACCAGTAAAGTCATGAGTCATTAGACAGAATTCTTGCTGATGATGGTGTAAGATTTCTCAGATTTATACTGAAGGCATTAAATAAATGACCTCTAAACTTCTAAAACGCTTTCTGCTGTTCATCATTTTTTCTAATGATAAAAGCATTGCTTATTATAAGAAATGAATCCTCTTCTACCTGGTATTCTAGTTTTGTGAATTTTTAGATTTTTCATAGTGAGATGACTTTTTCATTTAAAATGTGAACATTTCAAATCAGATATATCATTGCCTCCACCAGACTTCACACACTCCCAATCTCTTTTCTCAAAGGGTAGTATTGTTAATAATTTGGCATTTGTCCTTCAGAAACTTTTTTATAATTTATTTTTGCAAACTTATAATAGTCTTGATTTGAACTTTCTAATTTTTTTTTGAGACAGCCTCACTCTGTCACTGAGGCTGGAATGCAGTGATGTGATCTCAGCTCACTGCAACCTCTGCCTTCTGGGTTCAAGTGATTCTCGTGCCTCAGCCTTCCAGGTAGCTGGGATTACAGGCATGTTGGCGCATGCCTGGCTAATTTTTGTGTTTTGTGTAGAGTCAAGAGTTTTGCCATGTTGCCCAGGCTGGTCTCTAACTCCTGGGCCTAAGTGAACCACCTACCTCGGCCTCCCAAAATGCTGGGATTACAGGCGTGAGCTACTGCGCCCGACCTGTATTTTATAATTTACTGTATGTGTAATTCAACTTACTTTCTTTTAGTAATGTATTTTAGGGCTTTTTCTTTGATAACATAGAACTATATACTTTTAAAAAATTGTTGTATTTTGTAATATAAGTGTCTATAATTTGGATAGTTCTATGCCTGTTGATAGACATTAAGGCCATTTTTACTTCTTGACATTACAAAATATGCTACAGTGAACTTTTTTGTGCATGTTTGGCAAGAATGTGTTAAATGTTGTATTGCAAAATTGTCCTGTATGGAGGATCCTTTTTCCAGATAGACTACATCATAGGATATAGACTAAAGCAGAGTTCCTGGGTTGAAGCAGGGTAAAGGGGTGGAACTGTGCTTCCCTTTTGTCTTTGGTATTGATTTTTGAGAAATTTTGGAGAGATCTTGGAGTTGCAAGGAACCCAGCTTGAAAGTATATTGAAATGGAAAAATGTTAATATGCCTAAATAAATAGAAAACCACAAGCCTTTAGTAGCTGTAAATATTGCACACATAGTATGGCTAAACTGACTATAAAACCGTCTTTCAGATTGATGATGTAAGTAGTCTTATAGTGTAAGTGTGGTTATATGAATCAATAGATTACAAATCTACCTGAAGTAAATATTAAAGCCGTAGATCAAAGTCTTATGCTGTCCTCTGCAAGTAATCTATAAAAATTAATAATACTCATGAAGCTATTCTGCAGTTTCTAGAAACCTTTGGTATAATTGTGTGGTTTTATTTCCATAATTTTGTCTCTAGTAAAGCTACCAAAAAATCTTATTTTTAAAATAAGGAGAATCTATATAAAATAATTGACAGGATATTTCTATTTTTTAATACTTCTGTATTCAGTTTCTATATTGTTAAATATAAACCTTTTCTGTTATTTCTGCTTCCTTGTCAAAAACCATGACAGAATAATCTATTGTCT
Organism: Homo sapiens; assembly: GCF_000001405.40. Taxonomy (NCBI): domain Eukaryota; kingdom Metazoa; phylum Chordata; class Mammalia; order Primates; family Hominidae; genus Homo; species Homo sapiens. The sequence continues at coordinate 152,199,505 of NC_000007.14, read as the reverse complement.
TTTTAGAATTTTCTAACCATTTTTGTATGTGCTTATCTTCATCTAGGAAGCTTTCTTTGGAAAAGATCTTCTAGATACAAGTAGACAAAGCAAGATAAGTTTAGATAATCTGTCAGAAGATGGAGCTCAGCTTTTATATAAAACAAACATGAACACAGGTTTCTTGGATCCTTCCTTAGATCCACTACTTAGTTCATCCTCGGCTCCAACAAAATCTGGAACTCACGGTATGTAGAATTATTCACAGATATTTTCTTTATATCATATAACATACATCTTCCTTTCAGTTAAATCTTTTTGAAATGTTTTTGTTTGGCCTCATATGCATTTTAAAAATCAACAGCATTGAAGTATAACTTACATTCAGTAAGTGGAACTATTTTAAGTGGACAGGTGTATAAGATGTAGCAAATTAATTTACCTGTGTAACTAGTACCAACATCAAGAGTTGTGAAGGAAAACATTTGGTTTACACTTTGCTGAGGGCAATGTGAGGGGTTATAATTTGGCCAACAGTGACTTTTTGACTAAAAATCTAAGATAGATTTTTGTTAATCATACAGCTTAAATTCAAAACAGAGAAACCGAAATGGATGTGGGGGTACTTGGGAACTTGCTGGCATACTGTGTTACTACAGTGAAGTCTGTTGCCCTAGGTCATGGTTTCTTACTGCTGACAGTTTGCACCAGTAATTCTTTGTTGTGGGAGGGAGCCTTTCTGGTGTATAGAAGGATGTTTAACAGCATCTTTGGCCTCATGATGATCAAAAATATCTCCAGATATTGCCAAATACCTTTTGGTTTTGGTGGGCAAAATCACCCCCGGTTGAGAACCATTATCCTAAATGCAGGAACTATTAACAATCAGAGAAAGGTATGAGAACTTGATGTATTTACAGAGTTACAGCAATGTCAGCAAGGCTCTAGGAGTTTAACTCATTGGGTAGGTAAGTGTCTTGATCAGTGTTTCTCCCACTTCTCCCCTATGGTTCTGTCAATTGTAAATCATTGTTCTTTTGGTAAGCTTCCTTTTTTTACCATTAATTGCATTTGTTACTCAGTTAATTTTATAAACTCATTTTGAAAAACAATTTTAAAGCAATCTTCCACTGAAAAATGACTTTGGATGTTAAGTAGTTAATGCTTCATTAACTTGGCATTATCCTGAATTGAAATACTGACAACTATTTTTGATTTTGACTTTTTGAAATAATTAGAAGCAATCTTACCCCGTGTTGGACACATGTGCATGTCCAGTCTGCCTCATTGTTGGTAGTGAGGTCATGCTTCTTGTTTGTTCAATCTTACATATTTTTTACCTCCTACTTTAATTCTGTTGTTTTAAGTATGACCTGCTCTTGTCCTTGTCAGTATGTTGTTAAAAATAATGTATAATGAAAGACCTGTGGGTCCTTCAAAGGATATTTTACGATAAAGTTTATCTTATAACTCTCATAACTAGCCACTTTGAAGACTTAAATAGGAGCTCTTTGCACTTGAGTTTTAAAAGCAAAAGGATTGAAATTGGACAGAGAACATATAGGAAAGATATTGATACAAGTTTTTTTTTTTCTTTATTTATTTTTTTCCACAAAAATACTGAAGAGAGAACAGTTTTACAATAAGGCCAAAACTTGGAGGACTAGAAAAATATACCCATTTCAAAACCTAGATTAATTGTTCTTTGCAATTGAACTACTCTTTTCACTTTATAATGGAAAATTAATGACTAAAGGCTTTTTTTTAACATGTCATTCATTGTAGCCTATTATATCAATTTTAATGATTTATTCAGATATAAAATCCTTTAGGTAGGGGCAAACTTGTAAAACAGTCTTTAAAAAATTAGTTATAATTGTATAGTAGAATTCCATTACTTTAAAACAAAAAACTGCTATATGACTCCTAAAAAAATTATCCAGATTTTTTTTCATTCAACTACAGTGTTGTCATTATTGAAATAATTTTCTCTAAAAAGTTCCTGGATATTTGGGCACGCAAAACTTAATGTGATATGTTACATATGAATTACATTTTGAAAACTATATAATGGGACCAAGACTGTTTGACAGAAGTATTTGACCTGGAATATTACATTTATGCCCTCCTCCCCCTTTTAAGTAAAAATAAGCTTGAGATGGATTAAAAATTTCAGTTTCTCTTTACTGAATGACTAATATAATTATTAAAGCTAGCCTAAACAAGAGTTCCAATAGTTTCTTGGTTAAGCCCAAACCCGTAGAATCCTCCTTGACTTTTCTTTCCCTTTCATTCATCCACGTTTGTGTCTGCCTTCAAAATACGTCCCAAAGCCGACCACTTGTCTCAGCTTTCCTTAGAACCCTGGTGCTGTCATCACCTCACCTCTCAGACTGCACCAGTGCCCTTTTCTAATCTTACCAGCCCCTCTCTAATTCCCACCCCTCATCTGCTCTACATATAGCAGCCAGTATGTTCCCTTTAAAATATTAGTCATCTCCTATCTTTCAGCCTCCCAGCAACTTCTCATTACACTTCAGAATAAAACCCAGTCTTCCCCATAATCTCTAAAATCTTAACATAATCTTGCCCTAGCTGCCTCTTTTTTATCCTTACCACAGTTTTTCTTACTGTTAACACTCTGGCCTCTCGTTGGCAAACCCGGCTTGCCCCAGGGGCTTTATGTCTGCTTTGCCTTAGTTTGGAGGGTTATCTCCATCTTTGTGCATATAACTTACTCCCTCATTTAGTTTTATGCTCAGTCATCTCCTAAAGGTCTTCATAGACCACTCTGTCTAATACAACATCCCCGCAGCTTATTTTTAATCCTTTTTCCTTGTTTTTTCTTTAAATAGCACTTACAGCGATGTCGTTTATTTACTAACTCCCCCTGAGAAAGTAAGCCCTCTGAGGGCAGGCACTTTGTTTCAGTCATTACTGAGTGGGCAATGCCTGATACGTGATCCATAGACACAGTTCTGTGGGTAGTGAAATACTTTTTAAAATAAATGAGTGAGTAATCAGTATGAACAGCAAAGCTGCAAGTAGTTACTAGATGGTACCTGGCTTGTGCTCCATATGGAATTTCTGGCTTGTGCTCCATATGGAATTTCTAAAGAGTGACAGGTTTGTCTTTCATATTTTAACTTTTCCTACTGTGTTTTAATTTCTCAATGTCACTTTTAGACATGCCACTTTCTTAATGAAAAACTTTTTTTTCTTTGCTTTGTTTCTTACAGCATTTATTCTGTTTCACTTTTATTGCCTACAGGTCTTTAAATTTTGTCTCAATATACATTAGTCACAAGACAAAATCGTCTGAATTTTTAGTAAATTTTTGTAATTCAAAACATTATCTCCTTTGCTATGGAAAATTTTTACTGTAAAATTAAGAGTCTCAGGTTTTTATTCCAGTACTTGCCTCACTCAGTATCTGCTGTACTCTAGGTTTTTAGCAAATGGCTTAATATCTGAGAAAATACTGAAATTTTAAAAAACATATTTACTATATTTAGGTCCTGCTGATGACCCATTAGCTGATATTTCTGAAGTTTTAAACACAGATGATGACATTCTTGGAATAATTTCAGATGATCTAGCAAAATCAGTTGATCATTCAGGTATATATGAATACTGTTTACCCTTTTTCTGGTTTCTGATGTGAGCGAGAGGTGTATGATGTGTGGAACAAGTTTAGCCTTTTGTCTGTTTCCCAGTAACTGTGTTTTTGTTTTTGGCTTTGTTAAAGGACTCAGCATTTTCTTTGATCTGCCTCAGCTTTCCTGCTTTAGGAGGGGTATAGCAAGTTAGTTAATTTCTGTCGTCTTTCTAATTGCATCACATTTAAGGCATGTTGCCTTAAAGTCTTGCTGTATCTTTTTTCTTCTTTTGTTTGTATTTTCCCTCACTTCCTGCTCCTGTGGTAATCATCCATTTTATTTGGTTTGGGTCTTATAGGTCTTGATTTATGCACTTTCCAGGTTGAGAGCTCACCTTTTCCATTTGGTAAGAAACTGAGCAATGGATGACGGCTGACTAGAAGTAGTCTTCTTTTTTTATAGTGATTTCAGCTGAAACAACCTGTAGGTGCATGCTGTTTATCAGTAGTGCTAATTTGTCACTAATCCATACTTTGCTTTTCCCTTTTTGTGTGTGGCTAAAGCATAGTATAGCTGTACTGTACTTCGGGTGACTTTCTCAGTAGTTTTTCTTTAATGAATAATTTTATTTTTGTTAATATGTGGTTTACAATATTACCTAAATGTCGTAGAGCTAGTTCCTAATATAAGATCAAATAAGAACAGACTAAATTTTTACTTTTTAATAGTAATAATATTGAGAAAGCATGAAAAAAATGTAGATGATAAACCACTTTTACATGTGACTCTTACAAATTTGAGCTGCAGCATGTTACAATTTTATAAAATGTAATGTACATAATCAGAATGTGCCTATAGAATACTTTAAAAATATTACCTATAATTGAAGTTATTTACAAAGGATAATATTAAACACTGAGCATTTTAGGGCTTTTCATTAATTCATATGAAACATATTCCTTTTTACATACTGTGCATAATAATTGAACTGTACATTTGATAACACTATTTTCCAAATTAAAGCAATTATTTGCATATCGATTTCTCATAAACTCCTATCTTAAGCTTTTTTTTTTTTTTGGCAGGAGTTGGCAAGTTAAAATCAGATGTATTCTTTTATTCCTCAGGAAATGTTTTTACTTGAAATAGAACTTTACATGGCACCGAATACAAATATATTGTGCCTAATTTTTACTGAGCGACTCTCCAAATTGATATGAGAATTCTGATTCAGAATTACAGACTTTATTTCTCTATTTTAATCATATTGTTATATACTAAGTACAGGTAAATAGTGCTATACATTTTTGTGTGAGTATTCTGAATGTACCTTTAAATTTATTTTCCTTACTCTTGTAGATATTGGTCCTGTCACTGATGATCCTTCCTCTTTGCCTCAGCCAAATGTCAATCAGAGTTCACGACCATTAAGTGAAGAACAGCTAGATGGGATCCTCAGTCCTGAACTAGACAAAATGGTCACAGATGGTAAAATATTTGCCCTACATCTAGGCTTTCTAAAAGACCTGAGTAAATATGATTTTTAAAGATTTTTGCATGGTTATAATTTAACTTCTAATTATTTCTGTCAGTTAAATACTATTTTATATCAGTATATTGAATTAGTAGCTGTTAATGTTTCTTTTTTTTTTTTAATTTATTCTAGGAGCAATTCTTGGAAAATTATATAAAATTCCAGGTAAATGTGTTTTGATTTTCTAGTTAATGAAAATGGCGTTCCCCATACCAGGACCCTACTAGTCTTTTAATCTTGTTACTATTATTGTTTTATCTCCTAGAGCTTGGCGGAAAAGATGTTGAAGACTTATTTACAGCTGTACTTAGTCCTGCGAACACTCAGCCAACTCCATTGCCACAGCCTCCCCCACCAACACAGCTGTTGCCAATACACAATCAGGGTATGTTATGACTTTATAATTCTACATTATATTCACACACATGTGTATATATGTGGGTACATATACACACACAAGCAAGTTTTGCCCTATTCTTTAGTAGCCACGTATACAAACTGATAGGGAGAAAAACCCTTTTGTAATGATTGAAAAATACTGACTTCACATAGCGGTCTCCCTGAAATTCTCTGTAATTCTGTAATTATCCTTATGTCCAGTGGGGAGGATGTAACAGTGCCTGCCCTCTTCCCTCCCTGCAAGTCCCATTCCCAGCTCACTCCACTCTAGTCATTTGCCACATAGGCACTTGCTGTGTGTGTGTGTGTGGAACTGTCCCCGCTCACCTGGCTGCCTGTACTCATTGATCTGCCCTCGGTTTCACTGTCATCTCTCAGAGGTTAGCTGGTCACCACCCCACCCCCATGTTTTTCATTTGTAGCATATGGCACAAATATAATACCTGTTTGGGTAATTATGTCTTCCCTTTAGATTGTGAGCTCTTTAAAGGCTAGAGTTGTCCATGTCTTGCTTATATGCCCTGCCACAGAGTATGTGTTCAGTACATACTTTCATAGTAAATCAGTGACCTTTCTATCCCTGTAGACACTATGAAATTTTGTGAATGTTTGCCTATTTTGTTCATTTTTCTTCTGCCTACTTACAACTAGCTACCAATTTCTCCCCTTTTCTGTAGAGCTGAAATTTGATAGCCTAGGATTAAGGTCTGTATGAGTAGATAGGGAAATTGGTACAGGTATGGGAATCTATAGGAAGGAGTTTATGGAGTTGCATGGTGGCGTGTATATAACTCTATCTATATGTATTTTTGTTTTGTTTTGAAACGGTCTCGCTCTGTCACCCAGGCTGACATGCAGTGGTGTGAACACAACTCACGTCAGCTGCGATCTCCTGGGCTCAAGCGATCCTACTGTCCTCAGCCTCCCATGCAGCTGCGACCACAGGCACACGCCATCATGCCTGGCTAATTTTTTGATTTTTTGCAGAGGTGGGGGTCTCACTTTGTTGCCCAGGCCAGTCTAGAACTCCTGGGTTCAAGTGATCCTCCCACCATGGCCTCCCAAAGTGCTGGGATTACAGGCGTGGCCCTCTGTGCGCAGCTAGTATATATTTCTGATGATTTGAGCATAGGAACATCTCTCTCTATCCTATTGTCACTGCCTCATGACTATACCCTGAATTGAATAACATGAGGATATCTTCTCCTTTTCTTGTGTAAGTGCCAAAGTGTGTGAATAATTTGTAACCTTTACTAACAACTTTGTATATACATGAAAATTCCATAATGCACATAATGGAAATATTTGTGTTTTTACCAGTTTAGCCTCTAAACATAAATTTACCTTGATTTTTGCTAGGCTAAACATGTGATTTACATTTGGGTAATATACTTATCATATAACTATTCTTGCCTTAATTGTTCCTATGTGCTTTTTTTTTTTCTTTTTTTTCTGAGACAGAGTCTCACACCTTCGCCCAGGCTGGAGTGCAGTGGCGTGATCTCGGCTCACTGCAACCTCTGCCCTCTGAGTTCAGCGATTCTTCTGGCTTAGCCTCCCGAGTAGCTGGGATTACAGGTGCCTGCCACTGTGCCCGGCTAATTTTTTGTATTTTTAGTAGAGACGGGGTTTCACCATCTTGGTCAGGCTGGCCTTAAACTCCTGACCTTGTGAGCCATCTGCCTCAGCCTCCCAAAGTGCTGGGATTACAGGCGTGAGCCACCGCGCCCAGCCCCCATATGCTGTTTTAACGATTAAGAACTATTCAGTATTTCTCTTTTCAACATATAAAAATGACCTGTCTTTATGTTTTCTGAACTGAAAGTGCATATTTTAAAAATCAAAGATGTATTTCTTTATAAAAAACATCTTACAATCATTATGAAAATCACTTCATTGTGCAGTCTCATTTTTAAAAGGTCTTGGGAGGATGACTTCTTTTTCTTTTTTTTTTTTTCTTTTGCAAGGTGTTAATGTGTAATACAAGGTGAATCAGGTTGCCTACCCTTAGGAGTTTGTAATTCTAATACTGTAGACTTTCAGGTATACAACTAATGTGTATTATAGTACAGTATAATTCAAGTACAGCCTTGTGAATCACTAAGATTTCATTGTTCTTGTTTGAAGGAATAGTAGTTCTAATGTAAGGGCAAAGCATGATCAAGTTACATATAGGGCGACACATAGTTATTCAAGAATGGCAACTTTAATGTTTTCCAGAGCAAAGGGAGTGGGCATTGTTTAAGGAAGCAAAACTAGAAGTGGACATTGGTGCTGATTGTAAAGGGCTCTGAGAAATAGGCAGAGGCAGCTAGCCTTTTCCCTAGAGGCTTCCAAGAGCCTTTGAAGACCTTACACCACTGGTGTGATCTGATCACTTATGTGTTTTGCTAAGGTAGCTCTGGTGTCAATATTGGGAATAAATTTGGGACGAGAAGAATTGTACTAATGAGGTTATTGTGGTTGAGACTAAGTTAAAAAGTAGGTTCCATGTAAAGATACTTCCGTGCTGATTGAAAGGAAGGAATAGATACGAGAGAAAATGACATTAGAACAAGTAGGACTGTGCTACTGAATGGATATAAGGTGTGAGGAAAGGGGGAAATTAAAGTGAATTAGACTATGTATAAACCAGGGGCCCAGAGGATAATCATGAAACAGAGGAAGACTTAGTGTGTGTGCTGGTAGAAGGTAGTGGAGGTACAATGAATTTAGTTTTAGACCTCTTTTAGGTTGGTAGAAATGGGACATATACACTATTTTGACTTACAGGCAGTTGCAGTTAGTCAAGGAGATGGATGAAAATGTAGGAATTATCTGTGTAATTGTGCTAATTGCACATGTGGGAAGGATGAGATTTATTAAGAGAATATACTGCCAGTAGAGTATAGAATCTCGAGGAATGCTTTTTAATTAAATGTAATTAAGTATATGCTTAACTCATCTGATTTATATTAGGTGTGCAATTACATGTTTCTTATCTTTCTTCCTTTTAAAGGTTAGGTGAAAGTAAAAAAAGTGGTGAGAGATTTGAGACATTGAGTGAGAGGTATAGGATCTTGGAAATGAATGATCATTAGAGACAGGTTGTACAGTTAAGTAACATGACTACTTGAAAAACATTGTTTCATTGGACCATGGGAAGGTTGTTGCTAATCTTCAGTGGAGTAACTTCAATAGAATTGATGAGAAAGGGGAGGCAAAGTGTAATATGTTATTATGTAATATGTAATATGCTTTATTGTCTGATGGTAATAAAGTTCAGAAAGTAGAGAATAGAATTTTCAAGATTGAGATAGAGTAACTTGAAATACCTTTATGTAAAAGTTGTGAAGTAACTTTTGAACTTTTATAAACTAATATGACTAGTTTGGGTAGATATGGTAGACTTGGAAAAAAAAAAGACCACTTCTTGAATAAAATAAGAAGAAATACTTTGCTTTTACTTATTTGTCCTTGAACAAATTATTTAATTTCTGTGGGTCCTCTTTGCTTAAATGGAGCTGAACATAATAACCTATTTCAGTGGGTTTTCATGAAGCTGTAAAGCTTTTAAGACAGTGCTTAGCATAGCATAAAGTACTTAACAAATAATAGCTAATATTACTATTGGGAAAAGTTTCAATATGTTAATATTGTAGATTATTACAAGATTATTATTGTAATATCGGTAGATGGCACTGATACCTAGCTACAGTATGGATCACATTCTCCTTGTCAATAAACTCTTGTTTCTCCTAATTACATGAAAGACATTTGATATTGTTTATTAAAATTGCACATTCCTTAACGCAGCAGTCCCCAGCCTTTTTCGCACCAGGGACCAGTTTCAAGGAAGACCATTTTTTCACAAACCCAGGTTGGTGGGTTGGGGAATGGTTTTGCGATGAAACTGTTCCACCTCAGATCATGAGGCATTAGATTCTCATAGGAACATGCTCGCATGCACACTTCACAATAGGGTTTGCGCTTCTATGAGAATCTAATACCGCCACTGATCTGACAGGTGGAGCTCAGGCGGTAATGGTCACTTGCCCGCTGTTCACCTACTGTGCGGCCGGGTTCCTAACAGGTCATGGACTGGTACCAGTCTGTGGCCCCAGAGTTGGGGACCCCTGCCTTAATGGAACCTGCTTTTCACTGAAGTTGAAAATAGATGTGGCATTCTAGTTTGAAAAAAGCAGAAATCTTGCCCTTTAATCCTTGGAGTAAATGTAAGTGTCATGAGATATTTGTCATTGTGAAAACCTGATCCAGTGGACCCAGCTGTGGCATTTAGTAGGGTAAGCCCGTTTGTGAAAGTCAGAGAGTTCTAGGAAGTCTTTGAGACAAAATCTTTTAAACTTGTCAGTGATCATCCTTAGTATCTGCACATACATACTGGAGCTATGTAGGTTTTAGTGTTGTAACATTCAAATGATGTGGTTTAAGTGAAAGATCATTATACATTGTAAAATGTACGTGTATGAGACTTTTTTTTTAATCTAATGGAATGACATTAGATAAAAAAAAATCAAGTGATCAGGTTAGGAATTCTCTAGTTATACCAAGTATTGGTCAACTCTGTATTGCCATTTGTGTAATTAATTGGTGATGTGGATCTCCTGTAATAGTATGGCTCTAAGTGTTGCAACAATTAACAGAGGCCTTGTGTATTTCCACAAATCATCAAGTTTAATTGGGAGGGCTTTTTGAAGGTAAACAAAGTTTTTGTTGTTGTTGTTCTTTCTTTTTTCTGGAAACTGCTCCAATATGGACAGTTGGCTTAGTTCCAAATAGTTTAGACAAGTAGACTTTCACAATAAGGACTGGAGTTACATGCTTAAAGGAGTGTTGTAAAGAAGCATAAGATGGTCCTTTTATTTGCCTAATGTCTATTCAGAAAGAAAACGATAAGGTATTTGATGTTTGTGAATAAGCTCGAATGAGAATTCAAATGTGTTTGGGGGCTGAACTGTAAGTTATAAAAATTAGGCCAAAACCAGAGTGTATGTATTTTTAGGAATAATCATCTGATTTTTAGTGATAGATATATTGCTTACTCAAAACTAATTTAGAGAAAGTATCAATTTAAGAATCATAGGTGGGGTGGACACAGTGGCTCACACCTGTAATCCCAGCACTTTGGGAGGCTGAGGTGGGTGGATCACTTGAGGCAGGAGTTTGAGATCAGCTTGGCCAAAATGGTGAAACCCCACCTCCACTAAAAATACAAAAATTAGCTGGGCATGGTGGCAAGTGCCTGTGATTCCAACTACTCAGGAGGCTGAGGCAGAATTGCTTGAACCTGGGAGGCAGAGGTGGCAGTGAGCTGAGATCTTGCCACTGCACTCCAGCCTGGGCGACAGAGTGAGACTCCATCTCAAAAACAAAAAAAAAAAAAAAAAAAGGAAAGAATCATAGATTTTTTTTTTTTTTTGGTATTAAGAGGAACAGGAATAAAATATAAGAAACATCTGTTTGTAAATTTTTAATGAAGAGAAAGAATATTTGATAAAACTTACTAGCATTTGCTGTGATTCATTAGTGTTTTTTAGGAGTTAATTGTGTCGAATAGTTACTGCATACCAGGAACTATGTTTAGAGCTGTACATACATTATCTCAATTAACCCAAATAACAGAATACCTACGGTTTACAGAAATAGAAATTGATTCTGCTTCTAACAGGTAAAATTGAGGTTCACACCCTGGGCTTTTGGACTCCAGAACACTTGCTATTTCTAGTACACAATAATGAAATAATCACAGCTGTAGAGATCATATTTCAAAATCTTATAGCCAAAAGTCACTCTTTAAGTATTATAAAATACTGAAAAAAATCCTACTTTTAAATTGCATTAAAGGTTTTGATTTAGAAGTATAAGCATCTCTTCTGTACTTGGGGCTTTGGTTCCAGGACCCCCAGGTATAACCAAAATCTGAGAATACAGAAGTCAAATGTTGGCCCTATGGAGCTTGGCATACAAGAAAAGTTGGTCCTCTCTATGCATGGGTTTCCCTGTGTTTTCTATCCACATTCAGTTGAAAAAAATGTGTGTTTATGTGGACCCATGCAGTTAAAAACCATGTTGTTCAAGGGCCAGCTTTACTTCAACTCCTTGTTACTTGTGAATATCATGCCAACGGAATTATTTTTTTCTCTGAAGATGCTTTTTCACGGATGCCTCTCATGAATGGCCTTATTGGATCCAGTCCTCATCTCCCACATAATTCTTTGCCACCTGGAAGCGGACTGGGAACTTTCTCTGCAATTGCACAATCCTCTTATCCTGATGCCAGGTACAAGCCTTATTTTCTATGGAAACTTAAATTGCACTAATTTCTGTTTGATTTATATATAAATTAGTCTGCTTAAATGATTGTGTATGATATTATTGTATGTTGCGTTTATTGTGGCTTTTGCTATAAATATGTTACTTTTAACTGTTTTGTAATAGGTTTTAATGAAAGCTATACTTGAACATATATTAAGAAGTTATTTTATGTTCATAAAGTAAAGATATTTATTTTTTCCCAGGGATAAAAATTCAGCCTTTAATCCAATGGCAAGTGATCCTAACAACTCTTGGACATCATCAGCTCCCACTGTGGAAGGAGAAAATGACACAATGTCGAATGCCCAGAGAAGCACGCTTAAGTGGGAGAAAGAGGAGGCTCTGGGTGAAATGGCAACTGTTGCCCCAGTTCTCTACACCAATATTAATTTCCCCAACTTAAAGGAAGAATTCCCTGGTAAGCCATGAATATATTATTTCTGTTTTACCAACATTTTCACATGTGCAATACCTTTTTTTTTTTTAACTGCAATAGAAAGGTAGCTTAACTAATTTTTGTCTATGATGACCCACAACATGAAGATTCCCTAGATGTCTAGAAACATCTTGCATTTTACTTTGTCCTAGACCCTGCATCCATCCTCATATTTCCCAAAAATTAGTTTCAATTAGTGAAATGGTCCGTTTTTCAGCTCCTAGCAGTACTTATTAATATGCAGAAATCCGTGTTATGTGATTCTTTAAAAAATTTCTAGAACCCAAACTATCATTTAATCAAAAATACTGCTAGGCTAAATCAGTGAATCCTAAATAGTGTTTTTATGAAACGAATTCAATATTGTCTTCCCTTCTTCCCCTCTCACTTTCCCTGACTGCCCAGCTATTACCACTGCCTCTTGAAAAAAACAGATGATAATAGTACAGTTTGTGAAAATTCTGATTAACCAGTGAATGAGAAATTTGGATTAATGAAATGTCAATTATTGAATATATGCAAGCAATGCGGTTTTATTATTTTGAGTTCATGGTATCAGACAAACTAGGATTGAAAAAGTTATTCAAACTCAGTTTTGCAATAGTTTCCCAGCTATCTATCAATACACAAACTCTTAAATTACTAGAGGGGTACCTGGAAGTGACTTTTCATTTGGATGACCCCTGTATTTAGGTACCTTTTTGGATTGGCGTCTTCATGGGACTTTATTCATTATGTATTGTAATAAATGAAATGCTTTTTATCTAACAATAGAAATCAGTGGTTTGATGCAGGGAGACCTGTGAAGGCAGTATCCCATTCTTCAGCCACTTTCTTTCCATGCTTACATTTGCTGTTTATGAACGTACATGGGTATGTTGTCATTTTGTGTCAGCACAAATTGTCCTTACAGCAGAGCTGTAACTTTTTTAAAAGTAATTTTCTTTAATAATTTTACTTTGTGATTCAAGAACCTCATGAAATACTGTGTTAAAGCTGTTGGTCTGTGAACTGATTTTTCATTTTCATTGGCTTTTTGGAAGCTTGCTTTCTTTTTGTAATGTGGAATAAATAATTTCTGTATTTATCATTAACTGTTGATCTTACCCAGGCTTCTTCATTTTGTATACCGTCATGACACTGAGTTTCATATAAATGGTTTGAACTCATTACTTTTCCATGTGTTTGTTGTCCACAAATGCTAGTGAGATGCTTATTTATGACTTTGTTTACTTCTGGTAGGTCAAATTGATAGATTTCTGTTTAGCACAGATGTTTTACAAACTTGTACTTTGGTTCTGGTGGTGTCTTACCACCAGAGGGAATTTATTATGTCTGGCTTGCATTTTTGCTACTTTGTCCCTTGAATCTAAAAACTTCCCAACTTTACAAGCTACGTTGTTAATAAGGCAGCACTTCATTTAGAAAACGTTTGTTTGGCCTACAGTGTGCCACGATCTTTGTTCTTTGTAAAAAACTTAATATAGGTCTATGACCTCATGAGAATACGGCCTGAATAAGATTAACTGTCAGCAGTTCATCAACATTCTTTATTACAACACATCATTAGCATGGCTCTGAGAAAGTGTTA